>NC_000004.12:155891077-156194108 GCF_000001405.40 Homo sapiens
GATCACAAGGGAAGACAGGAAGAGCAAGATCACAAGGCCAGGGCGAAATTAGAATTACTGACGAGGTTCCATGTCCTGCTGGGCACATATTGTCTTAATAAACATCTTAACAGGAAACAGGATTCAAGAGCAGACAACCAGTCTGACTAGAATTCACCAGACTGGAATTTCCTAATCCTAGCAAGCCTGAGGGCACTGCAGGAGACCAGGGCATATTTCATCCCTTATCTTCAACCGCATAAGGCAAACACTCCCAGAGCAGCTGTCCATAGACCTATTCCTGGGAATGCATTCCTTCTCCAGGGTTATTCCTTGCTAGGAAAAGAATTCAATGATATTTCTCCTATTTGCTTTCTACAAGAAGAAAAATATGACTCTGTTCTGCCCGGCCCTGTAGGCAGTCAGATCTTATGGTTATCTCCCTTGTCCCCTGAAAATCGCTGTTATCCTATTCTTTTTGAGGGTGCCCAGATTTCATATTGTTCAAACACACATGCTTTACAAACAATTTGTACAGTTAATGCAATCATCGCACGGTCCTGAGGCGACATACATCCTCAGCTTATGAAGATGATGGGATTAAGAGATTAAAGTAAAGACAGGCATAGGAAATTATAAGAGTATTGATTGGGGAAGTGATAAATGTCCATGAAATCTTCATAATTTATGTTCAGAGATAAATGTAAGAAACGTGAGAGACAGGCGTAAGAAATTGCAAAAGTATTAATTTGGGGAACTATTAAATGTCCATGAAATCTTCATGATTTCTGTTCTTCTGCTGCGGCTTCAACAGTCCTTCCATTCAGGGTCCCTGACTTCCTGCAACAATCTTATTTTCTAATTTTGTTCAAATTTCTTTTTGTTTTCTTTCTTTTTTGAATTATTATACTTCATGTTCTGGGATACATGTGCAGAACGTGCACATTTATTACACAGGTATACACGTGCTATGGTGGTTTGCTTCACCTATCAACCTGTCAGCTACATCAGGTATTTCTCCTAATGCTATCTCTCCTCTAGTCCCAAACCACATGACAGGCCCCAGTGTGTGATGTTTCCCTACCTGTGTCCATGTGTTCTCATTGTTCAACTCCCACTTATGAGTGAGAATATGTGGTGTCTGGTTATCTGTTCCTGTGTTAGTTTGCTGAAAATGATGGTTTCCAGCTTCATCCATGTCCCAGCAAAGGACATGAATTAATCTCTTTTTATGGCTGCATAGTATTCCATGATGTATATGTGCCACATTTTCTTTATCCCTTAGGGGCAGATTGACACCTCTCATGGCCAGGTACCTCTCTGAGACAAAGCTTCCAGAGGAACAACTGGGCAGCAACATTTGCTGTTCAGCAATATTCGCTGTTCTGCAGCCTCCGCTGCTGATATCCAGGCAAACAGGGTCTGGAGTGGACCTCCAGCAAACTCCAACAGACCTGCAGCTGAGGGTCCTGACTGTCAGAAGGAAAACTAACAAACAGAAAGGACATCCACACCAAGATAAGAACTACATGATGAATGCACAAGCTTCAGTAGCCAATTCAATCAACTAGAAGAAAGGGTATCAATGATTGAAGATCAAATGAATGAAATGAAGTGAGAAGAGAAGTTTAGAGAAAAAAGAATAAAAAGAAATGAACAAAGCCTCCAAGAAATATGGGATTATGTGAGAAGACCAAATCTACATCTGATTGGTGTACCTGAAAGTGACAGGGAGATTGGAACCAACTTCAAAAACACTCTGCAGGATATTAACCAGGAGAACTTCCTAAACCTAGCAAGGCAGGCCAACATTCAAATTCAGGAAATACAGAGAACAACATAAAGATACTCCTCAAGAAGAGCAACTCTAAGACACATAATTGTCAGATTTGCCAAATTTGAAATGAAGGAAAAAATGTTAAGGGCGGCCAGAGAGAAAGGTCGGGTTACCCACAAAGGGAAGCCAGTCAGGCTAACAGTGGATCTCTCGGCAGAAACTCTACAAGCCAGAAGAGAGTGGGGGCCAATATTCAACATTCTTAAAGAAAAGAGTTTTCAACCTAGAATTTCATATCCAACCAAACTAAGCTTCATAAGTGAAGGAGAAATAAAATCCTTTACAGACAAGCAAATGCTGAGAGATTTTGTCAACACCAGGCCTGCCCTAAAAGAGCTCCTGAAGGAAGCACTAAACATGGAAAGGAACAACCAGTACCAGTCACTGCAAAAACATGCCAAATTGTAAAGACCTTCGAGGCTAGAAAGAAACTCCATCAACTAACGAGCAAAATAACCAGCTAACATCATAATGACAGGATCAAATTCACACATAACAATATTAACGTTAAATGTAAATGGGCCAAATGCTCCAATTAAAAGACAGACTGGCAAACTGGATAACGAGTCAAGACTCATCAGTGTGCTGTATTCAGGAGACCCATCTCATGTACAGAGACACACATAGTCTCAAAATAAAGGGATGGAGGAAGATCTACCAAGCAAATGGAAAACAAAAAAAGGCAGGGGTTGCAGTTCTAGTCTCTGATAAAACAGACTTTAAACCAACAAAGATCAAAAGAGACAAAGAAGGCCATTACATAATGGTAAAGGGATCAATTCAACAGGAAGAGCTAACTATCCTAAATATATATGCACCCAATACAGGAGCACCCAGATTCATAAAACAAGTCCTTAGAAACCTAGAAAGAGACTTAGACTCCCACACAATAATTATGGGAGACTTTAACACCCCACTGTCAACATTAGACAGATCAATGAGACAGAAAGTTAACAAGGATATCCAGGAATTGAACTCAGCTCTGCACCAAGCAGACCTAATAGACATCTACAGAACTCTCCACCCCAAATCAACAGAATATACATTCTTCTCAGCACCACACTACACTTATTCCAAAATTGACCACATAGTTGGAAGTAAAACATTCCTCAGCAAATGAAAAAGAACAGAAATTATAACAAACTGTCTCTCAGACCACAGTGCAATCAAACTAGAACTCAGGATTAAGAAACTCACTCAAAACCGCTCAAGCACATGGAAAGTGAATAACCTGCTCCTGAACGACTACTAGGTACATAACGAAATGAAGGCAGAAATAAAGATGTTCCTTGAAACCAATGAGAACAAAGACACTACATACCAGAGTCTCTGGGGCACATTTAAAGCAGTGTGTAGAGGGAATTTTATAGCACTAAATGCCCACAAGAGAAAGCAGGAAAGATCTAAAATTGACACCCTAACATCACAATTAAAAGAACTAGAGAAGCAAGAGCAAACACATTCAAAAGCTAGCAGAAGGCAAGAAATAACTAAGATCAGAGCAGAACTGAAGGAGATAGAGACACAAAAAACCCTTCAAAAAATCAATGAATCCAGGAGCTGATTTTTTAAATAGATCAACAAAATTGATAGACCACTAGGAAGACTAATAAAGAAGAAAAGAGAGAAGAATCAAATAGATGCAATAAAAAATTATAAAGGGGATATCACCACCAATCCCACAGAAAAAGAAACTACCATCAGAGAATACTACAAACACCTCTATGCAAATAAACTAGAAAATCTAGAAGAAATGGATAAATTCCTTGACACATACACCCTCCCAAGACTAAACCAGGAAGAAGTTGAATCCCTGAATAGACCAATAACATGCTCTGAAATTGAGGCAATAATTAATAGCCTACTGACCAAAAAAAGTCCAGGACCAGATGGATTCACAGCCGAATTCGACCATAGGTACAAGGAGGAGCTGGTACCATTCCTTCTGAAACTATTCCAATCAATACAAAAAGAGGGAATCCTCCCTAACTCATTTTATGAGGCCAGCATCATCCTGATACCAAAGCTGGGCAGAGACACAACCAAAAAAGAGAATTTTAGACCAATATCCTTGATGAACATTGATGCAAAAATCCTCAATAAAATACTGGCAAAACGAATCCAGCAGCACATCAAAAAGCTTATCCACCATGATTAAGTGGGCTTCATCTCTGGGATGCAAGGCTGGTTCAATATACGCAAATCAATAAATGTAATCCAGCATATAAACAGAACCAAAGACAAAAACCACATGATTATCTCAACAGATGCAGAAAAAGCCTTTGACAAAATTCAACAACCCTTCATGCTAAAAACTTTCAATAAATTAGGTATTCATGGGACGTATTTCAAAATAATAAGAGCTATCTATGACAAACCCACAGCCAATGTCATACTGAATGAGCAAAAACTGGAAGCATGCCCTTTGAAAACTGGCACAAGACAGGGATGCTCTCTCTCACCACTCCTATTCAACATAGTGTTGGAAGTTCTGGCCAGGGCAATCAGGCAGGAGAAGGAAATAAAGGTTATTCACTTAGGAAAAGGGGAAGTTAAATCGTCCCTGTTTGCAGATGACATGATTGTATATTTAGAAAACCCCATTGTCTCAGCCCAAAATCTCCTTAAGCTGATAAGCAACTTCAGCAAAGTCTCAGCATACAAAATCAATGTGCAAAAAATCACAAGCACTCATCTACACCAATAACAGACAAAGAGAGAGCCAAATCTTGAGTGAACTCCCATTCACAATTGCTTCAAACAGAATAAAATACCTAGAAATCCAACTTACAAGGGATGTGAAGGACCTCTTCAAGGAGAACTACAAACAACTGCTCAGTGAAATAAAAGAGGACATAAACAAATGGAAGAATATTCCATGCTCATGGACAGGAAGACTCAATATCGTGAAAATGGCCATACTGGCCAAGGTAATTTATAGATTCAATGCCATCCCCATCAAGCTACCAATGACTTTCTTCACAGAATTGGAAAAAACTACTTCAAAGTTCATATGGAACCAAAAAAGAGCCCGCATTGCCAAGTCAATCCTAAGCCAAAAGAACAAAGCTGGAGGCATCACGCTACCTGACTTCAAACTATACTACAAGGCTACAGTAACCAAAACAGCATAGTACTGGTACCAAAACAGAGATATAGATCAATGGAACAGAACAGAGCCCTCAGAAATAATGCCACTTATCTACAACTATCTGATCTTTGACAAACCTGACAAAAACAAGAAATGGGGAAACTATTCCCTATTTCATAAATGGTGCTGGGAAAACTGGCTAGCCATATGTAGAAAGCTGAAACTGGATCCCTTCCTCACACTGTATACAAAAATTAATTCAAGATGGATCAAAGACTTAAATGTTAGACCTAAAACCATAAAAACCCTAGAAGAAAACCTAGGCAATACCATTCAGGACATAGGCATGGGCAAGGACTTCATGTCTAAAACACCAAAAGCAATGGCAACAGAAGCCAAAATTGTCAAATGGGATCTAATTAAACTAAAGAGCTTCTGCACAGCAAAAGAAACTACCATCAGAGTGAACAGACAACCTACAGAATGGGAGAAAATTTTTGCAATCTACTCATGTGTCAAAGGGCTAATACCCAGAATCTACAAAGAACTCAAACAAATTTATAAGAAAAAAACAAACAAACCCATCAAAAGTGGGCAAAGTAGATGAACAGACACTTCTCAAAAGAAGTCATTTATACAGCCAACAGACACATGAAAAAATGCTCATCATCACTGGCCATCAGAGAAATGCAAATCAAAATCACAATGAGATGCCATCTCACACCAGTTAGAATGGCGATCATTAAAAAGTCAGGAAACAACAGGTGCTGGAGAGGATGTGGAGAAATAGGAACACTTTTACACTGTTGGTGGGACTGCAAACTAGTTCAACCATTGTGGAAGACGGTGTGGCGATTCCTCAAGGATCTAGAACTAGAAATACCATTTGACCCAGCAATCCCATTACTGGGTATATACCCAAAGGATTATAAATCATGCTACTATAAAGACACATGCACACATATGTTTATTGCAGCACTATTCACAATAGCAAAGACTTGGAACCAACTTAAATGTCCATCAATGATATACTGTATTAAGAAAATGTGGCACATATACACCATGGAATACTATGCAGCCATAAAAAATGATGAGTTCATGTCCTTTGTAGGGACATGGATGAAGCTGGAAACCATCATTCTCAACAAATGATCACAAGGACAAAAAACCAAACACTGCATGTTCTCACTCATAGGTGGTAATTGAACAATGAGACCACTTGGACACAAGAAGAGGAACATCACACACAGGAGCCTGTCATGGGGTGGGGGGAGTGGGGAGGGATAGCATTAGGAGATATACCTAATGTAAATGACGAGTTAATGGGTGCAGCACACCAACATGGCACATGTATACATATGTAACAAACCTGCATGGTGTGCACATGTACCCTAGAACTTAAAGTAAAATAATAAAAAAAAGAACAAAGTCTTGTTGAACCACCAAGGAGGAAGAAATTTTCCTTTTTGAGGATATCATGGAAAGCATCCCAGAAGAAGTCTATTTGAAATGTTTCTTTTTTTTTTTTTTTTTTGAGACGGAGTCTCGCTCTGTCGCCCAGGCCGGACTGCGGACTGCAGTGGCGCAATCTCGGCTCACTGCAAGCTCCGCTTCCCAGGTTCACGCCATTCTCCTGCCTCAGCCTCCCGAGTAGCTGGGACTACAGGCGCCCGCCACTGCGCCCGGCTAATTTTTTGTATTTTTAGTAGAGACGGGGTTTCACCTTGTTAGCCAGGATGGTCTCGATCTCCTGACCTCATGATCCACCCGCCTCGGCCTCCCAAAGTGCTGGGATTACAGGCGTGAGCCACTGCGCCCGGCCTGAAATGTTTCTTAAAGAATGAGTGAGAGTTCAAGAGGTGGAGAGGTGGAGAGGTCACTGTAAGCATGGAAAATTTAAAGATTTCAGGACTTAGTTCCTATGCTCTAGATTTATCACTAGGTGTTTGTGTGGGAAGTCATGGGAAATGAGATCTGAAAATTATACAGTCTGCTGTAAATGTGTGAACTCTTGAGTTTTCTGCTAATAAGTTTGGGTAGTATGCAGATTTTGTTGATCATTTAAAGAAATCAATGTAACATGCTAGCATCAGAATCTGCTTCCCCCTTCTATCGGGGGAACCCACCCCCAATATTTCAACGTAGGTTCTGTCTATTTTCCATAAGTGTCGGCCAGCTGAGAAATAAAGAGAGACAGTATAAAGAGAGGAATTTTACAACTGGGCAGCTGGGGGTGGCATCACATATCAGTAGGACCATGATGCCCACCTGAGGCTCAAAACCAGCAAGTTTTTATTAAAGGTTTTAAATGGGGAGGGGGTATAAGAACAGGGAGTAGGTACAAAGATCACATGCTTCAAAGGGCAAAAGGCAGAACTACTACTAAGGGTCTAACAAAGATCACATGCTTCTGAGGGAACAGGACAAAGGGCAAAAGCAGAACTACTGGTAAGGGTCCAACAAAGATCACAAGGCAAAGGGAAAAAGCAGAACTACTGATAAAGTCTATGTTCAGTGGTGCACATATTGTCTTGATAAACATCTTAAACAACAGAAAGCAGGGTTCAAGAGCACAGAACCAGTCTGACCACAAATTTACCAGGGCGGAGTTTTCCCCACTCTAGTAAGCCTGAGGGTACTGGAGACCAGGGTGTATCTCAGTCCTTATCTCAACCACATAAGACAGACATTCCCAGAACAGCTGTTTATAGATCTCCCCCCACGAATGCATTCCTTTCCCAGGGTATTAATACTAATATTAATATTCCTTGCTAGGAAAATAATTTAGTGATATCTTCCCTACTTGCATGTCCCTTTATGGGCTCTCTGCAAGAAGAAAAATGTGGCTCTTTTTGCCTGACCCCACAGGTAGTCAGACCTTATGGTTGTCTTCCCTTGTTCCCTAAAAATTGCTGTTATTCTGTTGTTTTTCAAGGTGCACTGATTTCATATTGTTCAAACACACGTTTTACAATCAATTTGTACAGTTAACACAATTATCACAGAGGTCCTGAGGTGACGTATCTCCTCAGCTTAGGAAGATAACAGGATAAAAGATTAAAGTAAAGACAGGTGTAAGAAATTATAAAAGTATTATTTGGGAACTGATAAATGTCCTTATTAAAATGAAATCTTCACAATTTATGTTCCTCTGCTGCAGCTCCAGCTGGTCCCTCCATTTGGGTTCCCTGACTTCCCGCAACACCCTTCCCTTTTAAAGAACAGATGTTTCTATTTTGCAATTTTTTCTGACTTGTGAACTACCTTTAATAGTATTTTTAGTATTTAGTATTTACTTTAATAGTAATAATATGAATTCTATAAAATTATTGCTATTTAACCATTCCAACCTACAAAAGCATCAATTTCATATGGTTCAAACTGTATATTATGAGAATAATACCTAAACTTTAAATAATTTTTTTATAATACCTAAACTTTTAAAATCATTTTAATGTTTTTTATGTAGTTGATAATAAAATATGCTACTTAGTACTTTTAAAAAATTATATAATACATTATGATTGTATTATAAAGTTTATTTAATATAATTTATACTATTAAAATAGTTGGTAACCTCTTCTTATTTACAAATAGAACACTTGCTTTTAAAAATACTATTAAATTATATAAAGAAAAGCATTTCTTTTCAAATTTTCAATGATAATATATCATGTTGAACTAGGAAAAAATGAATGTTAACGTGTTTATATACCAAAATATGGCCAAAAAATAGTTTTCATAACCTCATGTCTGAAATTGCTGGAACTTATTTAGAATCTCATTGGAATTATTTTTATTAAAATGTTAATGATTTTTAATAAATAAAGAAATAAAATTTATCTGTAGGCATTTCTCCAAAGCCCAGGATGAGAAAGGGTCTCCTGGTTCCTGGTTCCTTTGTGATGTGTTCCATGTGAGAGGCAGGCCAGTTTCCTTAACTGTAAGAGTGTTTAGTGTAACCTTATCTACATACATCTTCCAAGAATGTCATTTATTTTTCCCTTGAAAACCAGTCATCCTAAATCCACAGAGATAAATGAAGTAGTCCTTTCACTGGTCCATAATTTCTTCCCTTGAAATTGGTGCCCTAAGTTTGTTTTCTGCTTTTTCTCAAGCCTGCCATAATTACAACTGAGCAAACGTTAGTTGTTGATGGCTGTTTCTGAGTTTTATCAAAGAGACTTTGAAAACCTCCTAAGTGTGTGACTAAATTTAAATCCTAGCTAAGGAATTTTAATTCCGTTCAGACTCCCATCTATGGGAATCAAAGAAAACGTTAGAACAACAAAACAAGGACAAGAAAAAAGCTACTTCACAGCCCAAATGGCAATTTATCTTGTCAACTAAAGTTTATTGAATGGCTGCTATGTTTACAGATGCTTCTTGGCTTAGAAAGGAAAAAATCTGTTAAAAAAAGTAATTATTCAATTCCTAAATATATTATAGCTCCTGATGAACAAGAGCTGTATGTATTAGATTGGCTTCTGCATAAGAAAGTCTGAGCCCGAGATAAGGATTTGGGGGATGGGGATTTATCTGGGAGATGTTCCCAGAAAGTAGTGAGGGACTAAGGAAGTTGAGACAGGAAAAGAGCCATAAATAAATTATTGAGGTCAATGTCAGGAGCAACTGTGGGTTGCTCTGGGCTATTTGAAGAAGGGTGCAGAATCCTTTCAGAATTCCCCTACTGAGTCAGCATTTCTGTGTCTGCCACAATCTACCACTGTTGAGTAAGGAAAAGAGTGGGAAATTGCATTGGCAGACAGGAAGATGTTGCAGCAGTTTTAAGCTGTGAAGGGTAGATGGAAAAAGAAAAGTTAACATCTTATGGAAGAGCACATGTGGTGCTTTGTAGAAAGAAATATTGTGATGGCTGAAGGGATGATCTTTATAAACTCCTATTCACGTTCAGAGTTTAGCTCAATGCAAGTTCCTGCTAATTCTCATTGCTCTACCCTCGCAGGCTCACTCTTTTCTGCACCCTAACCTTAGAAATCAAGAGGAAAGACCTAGAGACAAAGATTTTTGTTATAATGCTTTATATCTGATTTTCATATTCTTTTACTACATGTCTGAAAAAGAAAGTTGCTATATCTCTTAGCTTTCTAGTATTTTTACTTCTGAATATAGATTAGATGGTTTCTAGGGTAACTTTTAGGCCCAGAATTAGTTACGATTTGCATCTTCTTAAACATGCTCATCTACCAGTGTTGCCTCCAGCATCTTCCTTCTCTAAGCCATGTGTGCACAGAATTATGTGCATATGGAAATAGAGTGGGTTTAGAAGGTTACTGCAGATCATTGCCTGTACCCGTAGAATCTCCTCTCTTGATCTGTTAAATGTCTGAGGTTCTATTACATTGTATTATTTGAGTTAAAGTATATTTCCAGAAAGTCTGTGTAAAATATTCAATATATAAATAAATAGGGAGCTGTAGATACTATAGTCATAGAAATTCTAAATCTGAGCCTAGGAGCAGTGGCTCATGCCTGTAATTCCAGCATTTTGGGAGGCTGGGATGGGTGGATTGCTTGAGGCCAGAAGTTCAAGACCAGCCTGGTCAACATAGTGAAACCCCATCTCTAAAAATAAAAATAAAAATAAAAATAAAAATAAGAAATAAATTCTAAATGTGATTATAAATAAAAGTTTCCTAATTAGATTATCATCAGATGGACAAATTGGGTTCGAAGTGGCAAAATTTAAGTATTGGCAAATGATGACCAGAATATAACTAGTAATACATTTGATAATGCTATTGCAAAAAATAATGAGGATGTGTGTGTATGGGGGCCTTCCACTGTAGTTACTCTCCTGGATGAAGAAAATAAGTTATTTTTAGATTAGCTTGCAGTTTCTCTGATGCCCCAAAGTCAAGTCTTTCAATGATCAGTTCTTGTGATGTAAAAGCAAATATTGAATTGATACTACTACTTAAGAGTGAAATGTCATTTCTTTAAAAAATTTTTTGTTTCTAAAATATCTATTTTTTCCAATTCATAGGAAAATTTGTTTCCTTATTTGTTTTACTAGTATGTTGACCAATAAGTGAAGGAAACTTCTCAGCTCAAAAGGCTTAAAGAGAGTGGAATAAATTATTTAGCATTATTCTCTGTAAACACGTACCCAGTTGAACAACTATGTAGAGAAAGAGGGGCTGTTAACTGTTCTCTGCTTCCAAACACTCTAAGCCAGGACACCAGGAAAAGCAACAGTGACTCCACCGCTCTCTCAGGTAAGGTCCCTATCCAGTGTGTAGGCAATTTCCAGGATCATTCATAAAAACTCAAGGGAAATGTGACAGGTATAGCATATAGTTTTGATGATTTTCAAGTTCAATTATAACATGGCATTTGCATGTTGTTTATCTTTCTGTACTAGATATATAATTTATTATTCAGTAATAAAATCAAGATTTTAACCTGGGTCAGGATCTTGAAGATTATAATCAGCTTAAACACTTTCTATTTTGGTGAGGAAATTGATATGTACAGAAATTCAGTCAGTTTTTCTCATATTACAAGGTAGTCGTAGAGCCAAGACTAGAAATCAGGTTTCTGACTTCCAATGACTTTGGCTAATTAGACAAAATTCCATCATGGTAGATGATTAAATAAAGGCTAAGTGCTGTTTCTGCCTATAGTTCTTAGTGAGTAGCAGTGGCATGCTAAGGATAAGGCCATGAAGCTTCTATCCTGGCTTAATTGTTCTTGGGGCAATTGTTTAGAGCTTAGATTAATAAATGATGTTTCAAGGAAGAATATTTTTATCACTGACACTGTATAGAATTATGGGCACATGGCTATTATTGGTTCTTGTTGTTGTTGTTGTTGTTGTTTTGTTTTTGTTTTGAGACAAAGTCTCACTCTGTTGCCCAAGCTGGAGTGCCATGGCACAATCTTGGCTCACTGCAACCTCCACCTCCTGGGTTCAAGCGAGTCTCCTGCCTCAGCCTCCCTAGTAGCTGGGACTACAGGCACGCACCACCTTGCCTGGCTAATTTTTTTGTAGTTTTAGTAGAGATAGAGTTTCGCTACGTTGGCCAGGCTGGTCTTGAACTACTGTTTTAAAATTCTATATAGGCAATGTATGCTAATGTGGATGACTGCTAGCTACCCTGTCATTGGTATGCCACAGATGAATAGTAAACTGATAATGTTCATTTAAATTCCAATACAATGTGTTGAGAGCTTAACTGCTGCTGATTATTACATGATATTTAGGTCAGAAGAACTCTGATGATTGAATGGAAGTGGGCTTTGAGCATGTACCCAGACTTTATTATACAGTTAATTTCCCTAGAGGTGTTAAATTTCAGTTTTTGGTCTAGAAGCTGTAAGAATATTCAAATTTGAGAGAATACATATTTGTTTTTTACAAGCTCATCATCTTATGTATCCTAATACTATGCCAAATGTTTTCTTGGGATTGAATAAATGTAATTTTTTTAACTTGGCCTCTGTTGATTCATTGGATGTTTGTTACTTTGAATATAAAAGCAGAACTTGGCAAGTCATACAACTCAATTTGGCAGATCACTCACTCTTAGCAAATGAACTGTGCCCAACATAAATCCACTCTAAAGTTTACAGAGGTTCAGTTCTGTACCAATGGAAATGAGAAGTTAGCTAAGAGTACAAGAAGCATGCTGATTGGCTGATGCAGGGTAAGCAGGCTACATAAAAGGCAGCTGTAGAACATCTGGGAAGGTCAATGATAGCATCTGCCTAGAGTCAAACCTCCGTGCTTCTCAGACAGTGCCTTTTCACCATGAGTGGGTGCCCATTTTTAGGAAACAACTTTGGGTGAGTATTTACCTTTATTCTAAGTGGGTTTTGGCTTTTAGAAGTATCAGGTGTGAGCATTTTAATTTCTGAATTTAAGGAGCATTGAAAACTGTCACCTTTATTCCTTTGTCTAACAATCTACTCTAAAGAAAATTTGCAATGAGAATTTTAATCACCCATATCATTAGTTAACTGTGTTTTCTAAAGCACTATTTTTCCCTCTTGATTTATTAAATTTGCAGATATACTTTTAAAAAACTCCCCGTAGAAGGCAGCGAAGAAGACAAATCACAAACTGGTGTGAATAGAGCCAGCAAAGGAGGTCTTATCTATGGGAACTACCTGCATGTAAGTGGCAGGGTCCTTACAGGGTTTGGTGTCCATTGTTAGGCACTCAATTCTGCCAAGTGACTTTTTATGATTTTATTTCTTGGAATTAGGGAAAGTCACCAATCGTTTTCTGGACCTAAGGATATTTTTATTCATAAACACTTTTACGTTTTCAACTTTTGTTAGAATAATTCAAGAGACTTATAGGATAAAATTCATATCTCCAGTGGAAGTAAGAGCAGAGAATCCAGAATCTGGGAGGCGTATACATGATAAGATACACTGTGGATAATTCACAGGCATTGTGCAACTTGTATAGATAAGACATGGTTAATAAATGTCAGCCTAGATAACTGCAAATGTATCTTGAAAAAGTTCTCCTTTAAATCTCTTATCATGAAGTCGAAATGTAAAAGGCACACAGAGAATTTTCTTAAAATCATTAACATATAAAGAGGGATGTTAATGAATGAGGTATTGGGAGATTATTCTGGGCCAAGTTTCAGCCTGTTTGTCTTCTATTTTTTTTAAGAGGCAAAATGATTAGTCCTTGATGTCTTCATCGGTGAGTTTCTAAGGATTAACTGATAAAGAATGTTAAAATATTCTTAGAATAGGCTCTTTAGGGGAATAAAAGAATGCCAAATGCATAGTCAGCTCAGCAAGTTTTCAAGTTTTCATCATATTCATTTCATGAAAAGGGATATGATGTCTCAAAGAGCTTAATAGGATTTATTATGATAAAATCCTACCAAATAGAAATTTTCTGAGAAGAATAAAAATCACAAATTCAATTCACTCTTTATGATGAGATTCGTCCATTGTTTAAAAGAAACTAGATTGGTTTCTGAGAATTTTGAGTTTGGAGGAGCATTTGTCATTATCATATTCTACTTCTTACTAAAGTTCATAAAAACCAAGTTCTGCAATTTCAGACAGGCTTTTTATTTTTCATTTCAAGTTGGAAAAAGTTTTGAATGCACAAGAACTGCAAAGTGAAACAAAAGGAAATAAAATCCATGATGAACATCTTTTTATCATAACTCATCAAGGTAAGTTGCACAAAGGTTTTGGACAATATTCCACAGGCATTTCTCATTGATAACGAGGAAAGCTACAATTTTTAAACTACAAAATGATGAAAGATCATGGAATCACCTCTGTTAGAAATGTTTGAGAATATTTTGCTGCCAGATGAATTCTCATAGGACTGATATAAGGATTTCAATAGTCTTCTTTATGTTACTCCTCTGCTAATAGGTGAAGTAGGACTTTAGCTTTGTTCTTAACTCCAAGGGGACTTTCTGCCTCTTGGAATTTCACTAGGAATTCACAAGTGAAGATGTTACGTTTCTCACTTCGGAACACTAAAAAACTATTTTCAAGATCATTGAAATTTATGCTGGATTGACATAATCCTATACAAATCTAGTAATAAAGACAAATGTAAATTGTGTCCAAAAATGTATGTTTATCCTTTCCAGATTTCTATAATGATTTCTGGGCAGTGGGTTTTTTTTTAGCCTATGTGTTCATGACTTCAGAAGTTTAGAAGGTCCCTGAACTCCAAAATTATGCACAAATTTTCATGAATATTATCTTAAAGAGGTCTGTGACCCCAAAATATTAGTAACATTTACTTTAAGCTTTTCAGTACCACTATACTGACCTCTTAATGACTGGAGCCCAATCACTGTTGCCTGCCAGTGCCCCACATCTAGATGTGTTTCCCTGCCTTACCAATTCTTTGTGTTCTTTCCTCAAATGGATGCTTTCCAATGTGATTGAGTAAATTAATAAACTCTGGTAAAGAAATTAAAAGTTAAAAAACTGGCTTAATGTGTCAGTTCTCCTGTTTTTATGTTTATACTTTTATGGGTGGCTTATACCGAGGCAATATCAATAGGAGAAGAATCATGGTATGGTAGCATAAATTAGGAATTTAAAAATTGTTTAGTATCTCAGTTCTACTGTTATAAATTGTGTGACTCTGGTCAAGTTGCTTAGATCTCAGGACCTCCATTTCCCCATACGTAAAATGGAGAGAATTACTGATGCTCTCACTTACAGAGTTCCTAGGAAGATAAATAAGATAATGTGCATCAAGCATTTAGCCCGAGGTATAGCACATAATAAACATGCAACAAATGGTAGCTATCATTATTTTATAAAAACACTTTTCTTCTATTCTTTAGTTATAACATGTAGGCAGTGGTTACATAGGGTTAAAAAAGATATACATAAACTGATCAATAAATGTTTGATTGTTCTTTGCTCAAATATAAAAATTAGGTCCCCCAAAGTCTTTTTAAACATAACTTAGAGTTATAATTGGATTCTCTTAATTAGTATGGAAACATTGCCTTTATCCATATGATTGAACCAAATAGGATGCACTGAAGATCTCTAAGATTATTGACTTCCTGTGTCATCTAATTATTACATTGTCTATTTAATTTATTCATAAAAATAAAAATAATCACCCAATATTTACTTTATGCCTGACACTGTGCTAGGTAATGAAGAAAAATGGATGAGTATGAGTAAGTCCTTAGTTTCTAGTGACAAAGAATACTATGGGAAGGACAAATCAACGGGGAGAACCATTTATATTTGCTATGAATCATCTAGCAACACAAAGGAGTCAAAATGTCTATCCATGTCTACCATACTGCTGTAAGTCTTAAGGTTTTGAATCATAGGTTTCCAATTGTAGGTGGGTAACTGATCATTTTGCAAATGAATCAACTGAAGTTAAAGAAAATGGTTTTGCCCCAATTGACACAGCCCGTCACTTCAGATAGATTGATTCCAACTATGCTTCTTCCAACATGTCATTACTGTATCACTTTTCTTTAATGCCAATGTTACTGTTTGACAGCCCGTAGTAAAAGGGGAGAACAAACTTAATCCTTCGACAGAAAAGCTTTGGCAGTATTCAGGTTTGAACAAATAAACCTTGGACTCATGGAAATTCTGAAAGATGATCTACTGGATAATGTGAACTCAATTGCCACAAAGTTCCCCCGGGAATTAGCTGTTACAGTAATATGAAGCTTTGCCATTTTCCTTTGACCACAAACATCTGGCCGCTTTCCCATATGTGCTAAGTCTATGAGTTGCTAGGATTTTCACAAATAAAACAAACAGACAAAATGCTGCATTTTAAGTAACTTAGCTTTGTATTTTCAAGTTCTTAAAATCCTACAGTCTTTCATTTAGGTTAGGAAATATTAATTTCTCAGTGTGTAGATGAAGTTGATTATCACTTCTGCTTCCCCACATACTTCCAGCTTCCATAGAGGAAGCTAGAATTAGGTTATGTGCTATATCCTCAAAGACCTAAAAATGCATTTGTTGAGAGGAATTAGTGTAATAATAATGAATATGAAGCATTAGGTAACATGTCTAGCATATTAAAACATTTAATAAAAGGAGGCTATTACAACTTTAACACTAACATTTATTTCTGGCACACAATGGGACTATATTTACATTTATTGATTTTAAGGTAACATTTTAATTTCTCTTTCAACATGTTAAACATATCTTTCATATAATAATGGCCAAAAAGGCTCCCATAACTTTCCAACTGACAATGATTTCCTTATTACAGCTTATGAACTCTGGTTTAAGCAAATCCTCTGGGAGTTGGATTCTGTTCGAGAGATCTTTCAGAATGGCCATGTAAGTTCTTATGTCACAATATTGGTTTCATGTATATTTTTGGAAGATATGGAAAGTATTATTAATGAGAGAAAAACATTAACACCAAATGGTGGTCTTAACTTTTAATGATAGAACAAACAGACATTTTATGAATGAATGAGGAGTTCAGTCATATTTTTCCATTGCTATTTTGAAATTACATGTGACTTTAAGGTTCCTTTCAAATTTCAGTTTCAAGTCCCTTGTTTAGAACTCATTTCCACCCACAAAGATGTTATAAATGATGGTGGATTACCAAGCTAATGGGGATCCTTTAATTAACAGGTACCAGAATTGTATTTCTACTGAATATTAGCTGCAGGAAGATGGGAGCAATAATAAAGAAAGTGAAAAAGGAAGAGAAGGAGGCAGTAGAGAAAGAGTGGTGGGAGGAAGAAAAAGAGGAAGAAAAGGGGGAAAAGGGGAATGGGGCAATGGGGAAGAAAAGGACAGGAGGACAAAGAGTGAGAGGAGAGGAGGGAAAGCTTCCAGTGACGGCAGGAGCTTGAGGTGCACTTCTCCATCTCCCACCCTGCTTTCTCTTGCCATGGCTCTGAGGATCCTTCCTTGGGTCCTCTACCTCTGAGCCCCTGCTCCAAGAAGGGCTAGGAGACAGAGCACATGGGACCCATACAGATGGGACCCTTCCTGCCTGCATGAATCCACTTCCCATTTGTGTCAGTGGCAACTTTGGCCCTCAGTAAAGAGTAGATTGATCCACATGTTGTTTAACCCTCACTCAGAAGTTCCTGTGTTATCTTGACCTCTGTTCTTTGAAACAAAACTAAAAGAGAAACTTGTTTTGAAATCAGTGGGGGGTTGTATTCTAGAATTTACTTCTGCTATGCTTCTATATAATTTTCTATTGTCAAAGAAAGAAAAAATTTCTTATTTTGCAGAAATTCCTTGCCCACAATTCAGAACTGTTATATACTCTTTGCAAATTTTAGTTTCAAAGTTTCCCTTTAAAACCAAATTAGAGACAAAATTAATGGGAATTCATTGCCATTGTCTATTTTGTATTTTCTAGAGGTCAGCATTGCTAACTCAGTGTTTCATTTCTTAACCTTCAGGTCAGAGATGAAAGGAACATGCTTAAGGTTGTTTCTCGGATGCACCGAGTGTCAGTGATCCTGAAACTGCTGGTGCAGCAGTTTTCCATTCTGGAGACGATGACAGCCTTGGACTTCAATGACTTCAGGTGTGCACATTTGGCATTTTAAAAAATGTGATGGAATTTACTTTCTCATTTTGGTGGGGTAAAAGCAGCATGTGTGTGTTTTGTGCCATGAGGAGCCTGTCTTACTAACATTTTGTCACTATATGGACTTAGGGGTCTTCGATCACAAAGCATTTGAGAAGTTATTAAAAATATTTTATTATTCATTTTTACATGTAAGCGTAATATGATCAATTGATTTAAATTCATCACTGTGTGTTCTGTTTTTCTCCAAAAAGAATTTTAGACAACTTAGCACATTGACTAAAATAGCTAATAAAATACATGTAATTAAATTTAAAAGATATAAAAACTCAAAACAGGAGCGATATATACAGAAGCATGTCAATCAAAGTAGAAGTTATGGATTAAACCATAAATTTTACCTGTACATTTCAAGGCAATACCATATAGATAGCTTTTTTCTTACCAAAATGTGAGAAGAAAAAAGTTTAAGAAACTTCCATTGGGTGTAGGATGTAACATGCATGTCCTGAACATGTCTGACAAAGGAAAAGTAGAATTTGTGGTGAATTTAAAACGTTAAAGTCTTAGCAGCAGTGAAATGAAAGACATTCACAAAGATATAATATGGGGAGTGGGAGTAATAACATTTTTGATATCCGATGATATTTAAGTAGCTCATTTTTCTGATTTCAGTGAGTCAAATCACAGGTCTAACTCTAGACAGTTGTGTGTATCTGCTCTTGATATCCAAGAGTAAAACTGACAGTCTCTACAATCTCTTACAATAGAAGAAACCATTATGGTGGTTGATAATGTCAGCTCTTCTCTTCTCTCCTCTCCTCTCCTCTCTTCTCCTCTCCTCTCCTCTGGACTCCTCTCCCCTCCCCTCCCCTCCCCTCCCCTCTCCCCTCCCCTCCCCTCCCCTCTCCCCTCCCCTCTCCCCTCCCCCCCCTTTCTCTTCTCTGCTCTTCTCCTCTCCTCTCTTTCCCTTCCCTTGCCTTTCCTTCCACCATTTAATCTCAAAGAGAGTACTTATCTCCAGCATCAGGCTTCCAGAGTTTGCAATTCCGACTATTAGAAAACAAGATAGGTGTTCTTCAGAACATGAGAGTCCCTTATAACAGAAGACATTATCGTGATAACTTCAAAGGAGAAGAAAATGAACTGCTACTTAAATCTGAGCAGGAAAAGACACTTCTGGAATTAGTGGAGGTATGGATTCATACAATTTATAAAGTTTAACTCAATACATCTTCTTAATTTAGCTTTTGCTAAATCAGAATTTTAAAAACGTATATCGAAACTGAGTTACATTCAGTGGAAATAAGGATAGAAAGAATTCATAAAAATACATGAATTTGTAAATTCATGTTACTAAAATATTGAAAATGTCAAGAACCCTGCTGAGAACTTCGGAAATACTTATGTAATCAATTGTATGCTAATATTTAATAACCTTATCATCTCAATAAAACAATTCCTTAAATATCCCTTCTAAGTAACACTTAATTAGCTGATTTTTAGACTGAGTGTGATTATTTAGTGAGCTTTATTGTTTTAAAATATTCTGTAATTGAAAATTTCCAGTTATTTAGTATTTTTCTTAGCTGAACTAAATTACTAAGAATATACACCTCAGAAAATGTTCCCTTCATATCCAAATTCCCTAAAGGTCTGTAAGTAGCCTTTAGGAATTATTAATTTTTTCTTCAAAATAGATTATTAAACAAAGATTGTATTGTCTTGCTTTCCATTACAAAGCCTTTTCTTCTGCAAATTAACTTTTCTTGTGTTGAATTATACTCTGCTCATTAATCCTCTGGGTATTGTAAATGTGGATTTAGGTTAATGTATTATATATAATGCCAAATAATGGCAGATAAGAATAGGGAGAAAAAGAATTACAAAGCTAATTTCAGAATTATAATAAGTATAGGTTAAATGAGAACTCACAGAGGTACATGAATTTAGTTTTATTTCTAGATTTAAAAACATTTTAAAATCTCAAAGTAATTGCATGGATGGTTAATTTCAAAGTTGCTAAGTATACAGTGCCCATGAATTTAGAAGAGATCGTATCTTATACATATCGTAATTTCTTAAGCTCCTATGACATAAAGTAACTTGAGAATAAACCAGAATATATTAGTAAAATAATTATTAAGAATATACTCTTTAAATATGTTTAGATAGAACATATGTTTAAATATGTTTGTAGATTTCTAGAAGACAATTGGAATTTCTGTAATCACATATTTCTTAAGAAATAAAGAGTAAACATTATTAACCATTGCCATAAAAATTAAGAAAATTGAATATATTAATTATTTCATAAATGAAGAAATTGAAGAGAAATAAAAAACATTTACAAATAAAACTTGTAGCATATGTTTCTGGAAACCATGAAGATTTCTTGTTTTAAGTTTATACATGTCGGTTACAATGCATTTTACATAATTTTACCATGTACTCACTTAAAAAATAATGTTTATTTAAGGCATGGCTGGAAAGAACTCCAGGTTTAGAGCCACATGGATTTAACTTCTGGGGAAAGCTTGAAAAAAATATCACCAGAGGCCTGGAAGAGGAATTCATAAGGATTCAGGTATTTAGATGACATGAGTTAATATAAATTCAATACAGAAATATTCAAAATTTTATTTTAATTATTTTTTGCTTTTCTCTTAACCTTTTCTCTTTCTCATATTTTTTTCTTAGACAAATGTATTTTCTTGGACTATGTGACATGATTGATTTCATTTTCTTTATGTGTGATAAATATTATACTAAAATAAGACCTTCATTGCACGGGAGAATTTTGTCTATGATAACTAGCTGAGATTAATATTATTTTTCATTTCTATTGAAAATTCTATATTAGAACCAATTTTAGACAGAACTAGGCCCACAGTGGACTAACGAACCAAATCTATTTAGCCCTGTAGCTTTGCTTTTGCTCTTGTATATTTACTGGGTGCTTTCTGGCAGCTCTCAGACAATGTCAGTTTTCTCCTACTTAAAAGATACTGTTGATTGCTCATTGCCCTTATCTTTCAGGTCTCTCATCCTCTTGGCATGACTAAATTTCCTGGAAGACTTGTTTAAATTCTACATCTTGAGAGGTTGCATCAGGTAGTGCTGAAAGCATAGACTTTGAAGTCATGCTACTTGGGTTCCATTTCCACTTCCACTTCTTAAACAACTATGTGACAGAGAACAAGTGACTGCACCTCTCTTAGCCTATCTTTCAGCATTGGCAAAATAGAAAAATAAGAATATCTAACTCATAAGATTATTATGAACAGGAAATTAAATAAATACTTGTAAAGCATTGAAAGCAGAAGTCAGAATAGTTATCTCTCAGCTAATCCTGAGCTTACTTCAAGCTGTCTTCCTGTACCATCATTCTCATGTGGCCTTCATGTACATAAATCCAATGGCCATTTTTAATCTTAACTTAGTTGACCTCGCAGAAACATTCAATACTAATGACTACTACTTATTCTTTCTTGAACATTCTTTTCTCTTGGATTTAGTATATACCATTATGTTTGCTTCTAATTCTCTGGCCCTTATTTCTCTATCTCTTTTACTTGCTCTTATTTCTCTCTCAGACCAATAAATGGTAGAGTTTTGTAGTCCATTGGCTTAGATCCTTTCTGTTCTATCTCTATACTCTTTCATTAGATGGTGTCATTTATACCCACTGCTTCAATATCTACTTAGCCACCATAATTCTCAAACATTTATCTCTGGTTTATATATCCCCTTAGATTTCAGAACATGTATATAATACCTTACTTGATATTTCCTCCTGGTCCTCTCAAAAACACACCAATAAAACCAAACTTGAACATTTCCCCTTCCATCCACTCTTGTACCAACATTGTCTTCTCTGCATTAAAGAATTTTTTCTCCTATAATCCATCTAGGCTGTCGTCAGACTCTTATCAATCAGTGATCCTTGGCTCCGCCCTCTTGTTTCACCACTTCTTCAAGCTATCATCAAGTCCTACCAATGTTACCTATTAGCTCTCAAATATCATCCTTTAATCTACCACTACCACTCAAGTGCAACCCTCCATCGTTTTTCACCTGGACTATAATAATATCTGAACTGTGCTCCCCCACCTTCCCAGTATGCCTCTATTCCAATTTAGTCTCCACATTGCAGTCTGAATAATCTTTTCAGAAGGCAAATCTGATCACATCTCCCTTTTGTGTAAAGCCTTTTGATGTTACCTCATTGTTTTTAAAATTAAGATAAAATTAACCTGGTCTATAAGGCCTTTATGATCTCACATTCATGTGGTCAAGCCATATTAAGTTTCTTTATTAGCTAAGTTTAGTTCTTTGGATTTATCACCAAGGAGTCCTTTTATGTGTTCTTCTCTGGGCTTGGAATGTTCTTCCCCAACTAACTCCTTCCCACTCTGAAGATCTTGGCTCGAGGAAAACTTCTTTAGAAAGGTCTTTCCTAAACTCCTTATTACTTTAAGTTATGACATATAGCATAGTCTATGGTTGTAATTTAATGACTGTACTGGGTTATTATTTGTTCAATGTCTTATTCCTACCAGATAATTCCTGTATAATATCACGACTCTCAATTTTTGCACACAATTTTATCTCTATCATCTTAGCATGACATGTATTGAATAAATAAATAATTAATTTGAAATAATATGCATATAGGTTAGTACTACACAGTGTGGTGGTTCTGATGAATTGGAAATAATTGGGTTAAATAATTTTCCCCAGCTCAATTAATTGGCTTATAAGCAGAATATGTGTTGTAGGCAGAAAAATAAGAATTTTCTTAAACCAATCAATAGATAGATAGAAAATGAATAAAACATGAGTGAGAAATATCTAAGAAATTGTATTTACAGAATTCAACACTGAATATAGAACATAGAATTTCAATAGGTTTAATAGTTCTTCTGACTAGGAATTCTTAACTTTTTCTAAGTGAAGTTACCTTACTTCCTGTGTTTAATTCTTGTTTAAAATTATATCATTATTAACTGCTGGTAGTTATCTCCAATTTTGTCCATCTGAGTCCATTGCTCATTATATTTATGAAGATAATATTTAATATTGAGAAATCATTTAAACTTAAATAAAAGGATAGAACCACTGAGTATGTGGAAGATTCCTTCTCATAAGACATAATTTCCAAATAGTAATATTAGAAGATACAGTAAATATTAAAAGTACATCATTTCTGCAACCATAAGTCTTTTCCTCATAAGCAAAGTTTTCTAAAATATCAATCTACTTATTCTCTCTCAGGACTATTAATGCCATATTTTTCCTAAAGGCTAAAGAAGAGTCTGAAGAAAAAGAGGAACAGGTGGCTGAATTTCAGAAGCAAAAAGAGGTGCTACTGTCCTTATTTGATGAGAAACGTCATGAACATCTCCTTAGTAAAGGCAGGTATTTTTACTTTATGAATCTTTTCCCTGGAATGTGTGAATATGAGATCAAGACATCATTTTATAAGACTATCAAGCCTTACTTGGGAGAAATAGAATGAAAATTGATATTCTACTGATAGAAACAAAAATGGAGTAAATGTTTTTGGTGATAAACCTATTTTAACGGGTTTCCATGCCCAGATTATTTGAAAAACATTAGAAAAAAATTTATAGTCTCTGCCAGATATACGGGATATCAAGATGAATTGCATATAGTTTCTCAAGTAGTTCACAGCCTAATAGGGACAGAAATGAAGACAAATCATTGTAACAGTAAACACTATGGTAGAGGTAAGAAAAGGAAGGAATAGCTACCGTGAGAGCAAGTATTGATGTCGCCCCATTGTTTTAGAATTAAGATAAAATCTTTAACGTGGTCTATAAGGCCTTTTATGATCTCATATTCATGTGGTCCAGCCATACTAAGTTTCTTTTATTAGCTAAGTTTAGTTATTTGGATTTATCATCAAAGAGTCTTTTTATGTGTTCTCTGGGCTTGGAATGTTCCTGCCCTCTTTCTCTCTTCCTCCCTCCTTTGTGTGTGGGTGAGTTCTTTCATACAAATCTGCTTGACTGACCAAGATACCAGGAAAAGCATACATTTAGACTTTCGGCACAATTAGTACTGAGCTGTTAGTTCCTGAAATTTATTGAGCCATAAAATCAGTACTTTCATTTCTAAACTTTTGCGTTCATTTTGACTTAGAACTTTTATTGTAACGCATCCCAAACCTTTTTGGAAATATGCAGAATAAAAGTAAAAATTAACTTTTATAACACAAGTACGAAACATAGCAATACGTGAAATTGGTATTAAGTTTTATAAGCTTAAAGGTTGTTAGCTTCTGTTTTCTAAAAAAAACAAATCTCAGTAAAGAATAGCAAAATCTTGTTTCGCTGCAGCAGGGAGAAAGTCTTTCATTAGAGCACACATGTATGATTTTACATAATTGTGCTCATTAAAAACAAGTTAACTAATGTCAAGTGAATTAATGAAAACTACTTTGAAATGATGCTTATAACACATCACTACTTTTTTGAAATGAAAGACACATATTCTTTTACTCGGAAAATGAATTTTATTATGAAAGTCAAGTGTTTTCTAGAAAAATCAGGTTTTCCTAACATGCTATTTGAAGGTTTTGAAAATTTAAAATATGTACATTTTTAGTTTGTTTTTTAAAATCCAATGTTAAAATTGTATTTTAAGTGATATGTTTACAAATTCAACCTAAGGGATAAAAAATGTAAACTGAAACTTATATTGATTTCTAAACACATGTAATCCATTAAATTTTTTAAGATGACGATGCCAAATTAATACAAAATTACCTTAAATGACCTAAAAAATTTAAATTTAGTATGTATTTTGCAGGTGAAAGACGGCTGTCATACAGAGCACTTCAGGGAGCATTGATGATATATTTTTACAGGTAAAGCAAATCCGAAGAGAGACTGAAGTTAAAATTGAGGGGTGGATATGGATAACATGTCCAGTATAAAGCCTAAAAATTACAATCATAGTTTAATGCAGTAATTTAGTTTTTGTAGAAAACTTGGAAGATAATTAGTAATGAAGTTTTATGCCCCCGTCCCTTTTTTTTTCTTTTAAATAGTAAAGGCATAACTTTTTCCCTGAACAGGGTTAAAAGGGGTTAAACACTACACAAATTAATCAAATATCCTTTTTTTTTTTTTTTTTTTTTGAGACGGAGTCTCGCTCTGTGGCCCAGGCGGGAGTGCAGTGGTGCAATCTCGGCTCACTGCAAGCTCCGCCTCCCGGGTTCACGCCACTCTCCTGCCTCAGCCTCCCGAGTAGCTGGGACTACAGGCGCCCACCACCACGCCAGGCTAATTTTTTTGTATTTTTAGTAGAGACGGGGTTTCACCGTGTTAGCCAGGATGGTCTCGATCTCCTGACCTCGTGATCGGCCCGCCTCGGCCTCCCAAAGTGCTGGGATTACAAGCGTCTAAAAAGCACTATGTAACACTAAGTGTCCTAAATGGCCAGTTTACTCTCTCAGAGACTCACTCATGAAATGTGTTCTATCATTAAACAATGCTCTAAGATTATTCCTGTTTAAGAAAATAAAAAATGCATGAAGTGAAAATAACTTGCAAACTGTACCACTTATTCAGCAATTTCAAGTAAAATTAGCTTCATTGTCTAAAAAGTTTGAAGTATTCCTGAAATATTGACTCACTCCTACTCTATTGTATGAAGGTCCCATCCTCAGGGTTCATGAATTAAATGTGTCAGAACAATAAACATCACACTAGTAAAAAAATACCTATATTTACAGGCCGTCATGCTTCTGTGTATTTAATTTTTAAAATCTTCTCAAGTCTTTCTTCAAAATGGCAACATAAACAAAATCTTTTGACTTTTTTCCTAAACTCAAGTAAATGTATGCCAATTAGGCATATGTGTCCTAACTAGAAAATATGCTGAGAAAGGTGAAGAAATAGATGTAAAAAAACAAAACAAAACAAAACAACAACAAAAAAAACAAAACAAAAAAACAAATAGATGAAAAGAAATAAAAAGTGGTTTTTCCTTTTGTGTTTTAATATCTTTGCCTAGAAGTGTTTGATTATTTTCGGCTGGGAAATCTGTAATAGTGCACCTGTCTCGCTTTTAATAAGAACCAATGTTAGGTGTGACTCTAGGTGATTACTTCATGTATATTACATGGACTTTTCTAGGCTTCAAACAAACACTGCAAGTTGAGTAGTATTATTTCATCTTTGAGATGGAGAAACTGAGACTGAGAGAATAAGCCAAAGCTGCCACAGCTCCTCACAGGCAAAGCTGACATTTGTTTCCAGGGCCAACTGATTGTCAAACTCATGCTCCTCCTAACACACTCGATTTACTTGAATATATTCTTCTTTTTCTTCTTTTTTTCCTTTAGGGAAGAGCCTAGGTTCCAGGTGCCTTTTCAGTTGCTGACTTCTCTTATGGACATAGATTCACTGATGACCAAATGGAGATGTAAGTCCTTCCCACTCACCCCATGTTGCTTCCCCACATGCTGTTCCTGTGCTCTTTATCTTGGTCTTCTGTGTGCCCTCCTGCCCACTTTCTCTCTTTCCCCCTCCTTTGTGTGTGGGTGCATTCTTTTATACAAATCAGCTTGGCCATCACTCTCTCCCAGGGCCAACTTATTCATATACACACTAGGCACAGTACCTAAGGCCCACAATACTTTTGGGGGCTCATGAAAATGTTTTATTTTAAAATCTAAAGGAAAAATTAAACTTTAGGTCATAAAAGTTTTATTACATAAGAGTAATTTATTTGCCATTATGCCAATGCAGTTTTAAATTTTTAATTTTAATAGTTTTTTTATTTTTTTAAATGAAGGACCCCATAAAGGCAAAGGTGGCATGGACTCATGAGTCATATTATGATCCTGGTCTCTTCTATTGTATCCATGGGCTAAATGCAGCGAAGGATGGAGTGAAATGCATGTAGCCTGAAGCAAGTGGAGCGCTAGGCAACCTCACAGTCTCATCTGGCTCTCATGTATGAGCCTTCCATATGGCCAAGTGTTAGTTGTCAACATTTTCTCAGAAGCAATTATCATTACCAACCCCTCATTGTTAGAACATTGTGGAACTAATGGTGGAAAAATATCCATGGAGTAAATTTGTATGTTTGCCTAGATAACCATGTGTGCATGGTGCACAGAATGCTGGGCAGCAAAGCTGGCACCGGTGGTTCCTCAGGCTATCACTACCTGCGATCAACTGTGAGGTAGGTGGGGAAATTCTCCTTTCTTCCTGGTGGCAGTCACCAACAATTTGTTTCTCCACCTATACATTTGCTATCTAAAAAAAGCCATTTTATTTGCTCCTGTCTGAACTACTAACAACACGTTTGTAGTTAGAATATTCCAGTTCAGACTTTTGGTGGTAATTTTATAAAATCTTTAATTATGAACTTTCACTGTTTTGATCCTGTATGAAAAGGGATATGGTATCAATGGCTGCATGATATGTGAGGACACAAAGGGTTTAACAGTGCTTACATCCAGGCAGAAAAGTCTTCAACTCATTGTGACTCAAGTTTTGACCAGACTAAAACATTTATCATTAATTCTACTAATGTCTTCCTGGCTAGATAAATGACACAGTTAAAGTAGCGTCTTGTTTTCTGATATGGCTATTTTATATTATAAAACTATTTCCATCTACTCCAGAGAGTGCCCCTTTTAAAGTGTTTACAAGGAAAGAGATCAACATTTATTGAGGACTTAAAATATGCTAGAGAGGTTTCTAAGGGATGTACATTCTTATTTTGATATTCACAATATCATAGATAAATGGACAAATGGATACATCGGGAAACTGAAAAACTTCTGTGGTCCCTTGAAAAAGAAGAATCAATTCAAGAATAAATTAGACATTTGCATTTAGCCCCACCTCAAATCTTTACAGCACATTGCTTTCGTCCCTACTGTTATTACCAGATTGGTTGGTTTCTGAAATACACAGGTTTAAATTTTCATCATTTTTAGACATTTTCACTGTCCCTGGAAATGAATTCTGTAAGCACAAAACAGTTGATAACTGCCTATACCAAATGAGCACACACATCAGTGGGTGGTGGGAATAATGAACACAAATGGCATCTCTAGTGTGTTGTTATCTCAGTTTTAAAAAGACCTGACCAAAAGGAAGGACTAAAGTTTTCATTTTATAGAGTTAGAAACTGGGGCATTGAAGTTTAAACAACTTGTCAAAGGTCCTTGAATTGTAGGTGATAGAACCAGAATTTGAACCCAGATTTATTTAACTTCAAAGGCAAATGTTCTTCCTCCATAAAACTGCAACAGTTAAAATTGTTGACTAACCACACAAAAGCAATTTTAGTGTTAAAACTACTTCATGGACATTTATTATGAGTCTAAGATGGCATTTCAATTTATTAAACCCTTCAGGGCAGTTATTTGGCATCTTTTCAGTTGGAAATATTTCCAAATGAGCATCTAAGACTGTTTGCTTTAAATGTATTACCTTGCATAGCATCCTTCAGAAGTAGGAAATGAGAACACATCTTTATCTTTATGAAGGTGTCAGCAATAAGACTCTCGGTTTTAATAGGAAACACCCTGTTCTAAAACACATAATACTGTTTTATGGGCATAAACTTTGAAAATGGAATAAAAAGCAGACAATCAATACTAATACTACATAATACCTAATTTAATATATGATATATACAACATGCAATATATATTATAATATTGAATACTAACTATGGAAAATATCTGAGAAATAAATTTTCTAATTGAAAAATTTAAATATTTCATGTCAACCAATGTAACACATCTTCATGTATGTTTTTCCAGTGATAGGTACAAGGTATTTGTAGATTTATTTAATCTTTCAACATACCTGATTCCCCGACACTGGATACCGAAGATGAACCCAACCATTCACAAATTTCTATATACAGCAGAATACTGTGATAGCTCCTACTTCAGCAGTGATGAATCAGATTAAAATCGTCTGCAAAATCTATGAAGAATACTGGTTTCACAGCCTATTTTTTATTTTCTATGGATTTTCATAAATACAGTTTGAATATATGTATGCATATATTGTTCAGCACCACGATGCTCTGATTTAATTCTAGAAACAATTTGATTACCTCTTGTTTGTGACAAGACTAAGCATTAAGATGAGAAAGAATACATTTAAATAGTAACATTGTACATAGGGTGTTTTCCTATTAAAAATTCAGTTTCCCCTGAGACTTAATGTAACCACTTAATGTAATCACTATCTCATTGTTTCATCTTTATAAACTTGTAAACTTCATCTATTTCAAATATTTTATGCAGTACATTATATTATTCTGTACAAAGGCTTTCAAACAAAATTTTTAAAATAATAAAGTATTAATCTTTCTCCCTGTATTGTTTTTGAAATATTGATTGTATTTGTTAGGAATCTTAATGACCAAAGACAGAAATCTATCTGAAGTTTGTCTAGAGGGGATATACTGAAGAATTACTAGCTTGCAGAATTCAAATGAACACTGTCCAAAAAGCCTTGAAAGAGGAGCCTGAAAACTCTGATGCCACAAGGACTGGGTCCAGTTCCTGGAGTGCTATATTCCTGGAACACTCTTCTGAGATCTTTTTTGTCTCATCTCTTCTCTGTAGGTGTTGGCTTTATTCTTTCCTGCAGTAGAACAGCTTCTGTCTCAGGCTGGGTCCCAGTTTCCAGCACCATCAGACTCACACAGGGCAAAGCTTCTCTTTCCCCCAGCTCCCATGCCTGTGGTCTGGGAGGTGGAGTGAACTCTAATGCATGCAGAACTGAGGTAAAAGCAAGGAACAGTCCCCTCAAAGAAGATGTGCTTTCCAGAAGAAAGTACACAGACTGGACAGTGACCCAGTTCATTTCTAATAAGACATTAACTAAGCTAAGAGTTTAGATCAGACATGAGTTTTAGTCTTCTTTTTCTAGCTTGGCCAGGTTATTGGGAAAACTTAAATTTTTGTTATGGGAGGAAGTACATAATATTATTTAAGAAATCTAAAATGTATGTCAACCTTGACCTAGAGTGATTATCACTAGCAAGCAGTAAGTTCTTGATGGAATTGAACTATTCTTTGGTTTCATTTGCAAGTTTTTTCTTATAAGGTCTTATAAGGATTATATCATCTAGTTTGTCTCAGAATTACATATAATTGTTTTTGTCTCCATGACTGTTGTGTGCTCATGTATGTGTGTATACACAGTATCTGATGGTGGCTAGGCTGATATAATACAGAGGCAAATGGCATGGTGGCTAAAAGGCACTAGCTTTGAAATCAACAAGCTCGAGGGCAAATTCTGGCTCTGCCATTTATTAACTATCTGGTACTATCACCAGTTGAAGCCTAGTTTCCTATCCATCTGGGGATAAAAGTACTTATTTTATAAGCTTTGCTATTTCCCAGGAGAAACATGTGTTAATAGATATTCTGTCACCAAAGTGCCTTAGAATATTGGTGTAAATGTTATTTGTCAACGTTTATCATTATTTTAATAGACTGTATTAGTCAGGATTCTCCAAAGGGACAAAACTAACAGGATCGATGTATATATGAAGGGGAGTTTATTAAAGAGTATTGACTTACAAAATTACAAGGTGAAGTCCCACAATAGGTCTGCAAGCCAGGAAGCCAGTCCAAGTCCCAACACCTCAAAAGGAGGGAAGCCAATATTGTAGCCTTCAGTCTGTGGCCGAAGGCCCCAGAGCCCATGGCAAATCACTGATATAAGTCCAAGAGTCCAAAAGTTGAAGAACTTGGAGTCTGTTATTCCAGGGCAGGAAGCCTCCAGCATGGGAGAAAGATGGAGGCCAGAAGACTCAGCAGGTCTGTTCTCTCCATGCCTCCTTTCACACTGGCAGCTGATTAGACAGGGCCCACCCAGGCTGAGGGTGGGTCTGCCTCTCCCAGTCCACTGACTCAAATGTTAATCTCCTTTGGAAACACCCTCACAAACACATCCAGGAACAATACTTTGCATCCTTCAATCCAATCAAGTTGGCACTCAATATTAACCATCACAACTTTGTCAACTTGAACCCATCCACATCTCCTGAAATCACACATAATCTTCAACTGAAGCCAATAATAAGGTCATAATTACATCTAACACAATACAGCTATCCTTTGTACAACTGGAAGTGCACCAATCCCCAATCCAAATGCTATTACCTAAAGTTAACAACACTTAAATGCTGATATGAAGTCAACAAATCTTACATCACATGATAAAGGAAAAATAAAGGAAATAAAATGAATATATTTTCTTAGTACAAGTATATATATGTGCAAACATGTTCTCAACAAAATAAAGAGGAAATACTCATGACAATTACAGTCCTCATTTCTGCAACTGGTCACATGGCTGAAGCTGCTATTGATGACTACCTTATTCCACTACCCCCATTCCTTATTCTCTTTGCCTTCAGCAAGCACCTCAGCAGGTTGTGGCTTTGTACCTGCTGGAGTGACCCAAACCTTCATTCCTGAAGTATCTGGGCCATTTGTAGTCCTGCCAGGATTGTGCCGTTGTAGTTTCCCATTGACATTAATCACAGGGCATGGCAATACTAAGAGACACCCTAAGGGTTCTCCTGTGTTCCATGCCTACTCTTCCTTACCTCCATTGTGGAGTAGTAGACTGATTTCGTCTTCATAGTCCAGGTCAATCACCCTGGCCAATACTGTAACTCCCTTCTTAGCCTGTTGCATTAGTCTGCTGTTATGCTGCTAATAAAGACATACCTGAGACTGGGTAAGTCATAAAGGAAAGAGGTTTAATGGACTCACAGTTCCACATGGTTGTGGAGGCTTCACAATCATGGTGGAAAGCAAAGGAGAAGCAAAGTCATGTCTTACATGGTGGCAGGCAAGAGTGCTTGTGCAGGGGAACTCCCATTTATAAAACCATCAGATCTTGTGAGACTTATTCACTACCATGAGAACAGTATGGGAGAAACCACCCTCATGATTCAATTATCTCCACCTGGCCCTGCCCTTGACATGTGGGGATTATTACAATTCAAGGTGAGATTTGGGTTAAGAGACAGCTAAACCATATCATAGCTAAACCATATCATAGACTATATGGTTATATTTAGTTCTTTACACCTATATTTCTTGGTGTGACTAAGCTAGAAGTTGCAAGAGTTTTATCAAAGGATATATCAGTCATTCTTCATGTAAATATCAAAATAATTTAGACTGCAAGTCCCCACCCTCCCCAGTCACACTTGCTTCTAGTGCTGATGACCCACTTTATAACTTTTAAATGGGCTAGAAAATCACTGTAAGGTGGGCTAATTTAGTATTCACTTTGAGATCTTTGTGAAACCACATCCAGAAACACGTTGATGACTTTCATTATGACTTCTAATTATTAGGTGAGGATTTTGTTGCTTTGACTTCAAGTAGTTTGTTATGGCTGGATCACAGCATAAGAGTGATCAAACTATGCAGCACAGCAGCAATCACGGTTGAAAAGGTAGAGAGGGGCTTCTTCGTGAAAACTCACTTAAAAGAGCTCACATGGTATCATAAGGCATTGGGAGCCCTTGAACGGTTGTGAACAGAGAAACTGATAACGTCTTTGAGAAATGTAAATGCAGGGGAAATACAGTAGATGGACTATAAGAACATCAATCTGAATCACCAGACTTTGGGTCTGGACTAAGGGACATAGAGAATAATGAGTAGGCTACTGAATAATGGAGATAAATGACACTAAAGAACATGCAACTAAGAAATGACAGTAGCCACAGGAGGTAGGTAATTCATTGATGGGTTACCAAGGTGCAGATGACCTGCTTAAATGTTTAGGATTTGTCTTAATTTTATTGATTGGGTGATTCCATAATGTTGATTCTGTTAACCAAAATAGAGGCTCTTAGAGGTAAAGGAAATTTTTGTTGGGGGTGGTGGGAGAAGTTAGGGAGGATGACGAATGGAGTTTCGGAAACACTGAGGTTAAAGTGCCTATGGAGAAAACCAAAAGCTGGATATATTAATTTAGAGCTGAGAAAACTGTAAATATAAAGCACATTAATACCGTGTTGACAAAATGTAAGCCATACACTTAAGAAGAGGTTCTTTTTAAACCAAAGTCAAATGTAGGTTGTTTTATTGTAAATGTCATCAAAATCCAGAACAGCAGAAACATATTAATCAGTTTGAAATTTTAGAAATCCTTTAGCACTTGAAAAAGAGTATTACAAATGCATCTATATCACATAGAAAGTCAGCGAATACAAACTAGACAAGCAGGACATAGTTCTTTTCTGGCATTCCAGGATAATAAGAATATTTATCAATTAAAAGGTCAATATCTGTCTTCCTGAAATAACTCCAAACCTGAGTCAACACACATTCTTTTCGGATTGGTTCTGACTGGCGTAAGAAGAGAAATACAGCATTTTGTTTTTTATTTTGTTTATCTAATCACAGGGAAGGATAAACAAAGGGCAAAAGTGAGAGAAAAAGTTAGATGTCCTTGAATTTTTTTTTTTAGTGGTTGCTACTGCATTTCATGTTTCATTTTTGTTAGATCATATACATTAGAAAAGAATGATACATTTTAGAGAAGAAATATGTACATACATAGTATCAGAAATAATTTTCTTGTATTGATTCATTTAATATGGTTGTGCTTATATTCAATCAGAAGGTCAACTCCTTTGCTCTAAGGTTCTTACACTGCTAACAAGAAATGGCTTTTTTCCTGTTGCAGGTCATGAGCAGCACACAGTGTCCTTTCTAGGCACATAGGATCATCGATCACTGTGTGGACGCAGGCTAATCAGAATTGCACCTGAAATCACTTGTGCAATTAGTGATGCAAGAGTGATCACAGGAATCAAGACTGGGAGCCAAGAGAAAGAACAAGAGGTGCACAAAGAAGCAGTTCGGATGGGAGACCAGGAAAGCTGAGGGGAAAACTGGGAAACAGATTCTGGAAAACTCACAGTTTGTTTGATACCCAGGGTTAAGAGATGGGACTTTGATAGGAGTGGTGCTTATGAATTAAGGGAGGAAGAAAGAGGTGAGATCCTAATGTTGGTAAAGGTACAGAGACAAAGGGAGCCAACCAAGTGGTAAGAAAATAGAAATGGAAAGTAAAAATGAGACTTAATTCTTTAGTCAGGGAAGCCAAGCCACCAGGAAAACTTGGTAAAGAGTAAGAGAAAGAGGGAGAAAATATGAGATAATATTTTGGTATTTTGATATACTAGAGAACAAAATATTATTCTATAGTATAAAAAGAACAAAGTAAGCAATATGATCTATTGGATTCCTATTCACAATGAAAATTATCAAACAATAATTTGTCTCTCAGGCAATGCTACTAGAAGTTACTTATATAGTTGCCTTATTGTTCATTTAATTTCAGTTTAACTGAAGCGATTTTGCCCTTTTCCTTCCTTCTACGTGGTCACTCTGCTGTTCAAAGGGTAAGCACCATTTGTTCAGGTAAAGCAATTGGTGTTTGAAATCCTTCCGATAGATACGCCATCTCAGAGGGCTGCTAATATAACTAACTGTACAAGACACACATAATTTTAGGTTGGCCATTCTTGTGTATAGGGGTAATCTAAAGCTAGTAGTTACACCCCACAAAAGAAAATAAATTCTTATGACCTCTTTGATCCCACCTGAAATATCTCACAATAAACAAACAAATAAATAATAAGCAAACAAAAACAAACAGTAGCCTTCCCCAGTTGCAGGGGCCTAAAATATCTCCTAATCTGAATTTCGTCTCAGGACAGGAAACTATTCCATAGGCTTCCTCGCAGGCTTCTGTGCTGGAGTTTGTCCCACTGACTTTGGTTGTCCATCTCTCTACAAGAAGGGAACATTCTGAAACTTAGTTTAAATACTACTAGGCCTTAGAATCTTTTGTAGGTAGTTGCTGAAACTTGAAGTTGAATAATACTTTGAAGTACTATGTTACATTGCATTATGAAAACCTTCATTTTTGTAGCTGTCTCTTGATCTGCCCAACATGTCACACAAATATAGAAGAAACGGAATCTGCAATACCTAAGGGAAAAAAAAGGAATTATTAGTCTATTTCCTCTTTAGATGCTTTTGAAATTGTAAATTAAAGCAATTTTTCATTTGGGTTCAGAAAGAGTATCTACTGAGAAAATAATGTAATGCTTATCACAGCTTGTCAATGTAAACATGGTATCATCAAAAGCAGATATTAGAAGAGATTAGGCATATTAGAAGTATGCCTAATATTTTTGTTTGAAGAAACTAAAATAATTTTAAAGATTTTAAAAATCCACAACAAAAACTACCTGTTAACTGAATAAATGAATGCATCTGGAAGCTGTATTAAACTAATACATTATTTCTTAGAGGCAAAATAACTTAAGAAATTATTTTAAATACAATTTCATAACTCAAATTCTAAAATTTGAATGTGGGTAAAACTTTAATAAATCACGAGTGTGCTATGCTTTCTTTACACACGAGAACACAGATTGCAACATCATGGCAAAAGCAATAAATAGCCTATCTGAAGACTGGTTTTTATTATAACTAACCGTATCTTCGAAATCTCTTGCAGCTATGAAATACTATCTGCCTTATGCCATTGCTCATAAGAGTAATATGACATCATTGTAACTTTCAGGGAATACTCACTTTCAGGAAGAATTTGAATCCCTGTATGATTACCAACCAGGCATGCCCTTAAAGATTTACATTATGAAAGCAGGTAGAGAGCAGAAATTATCTCCACTCACCCTTAGTAGCTGAGGGATGGAGAAAGGTTGTGGTGAGGGACGTAGTTATAATTGAGGCAATTATGAACCAATATTTGAATTATGTTATTTTAACACTCCTGTAAGAGATTTGAAAGCAGTCACCCCTCAGCCCAAATCCAGGATCCACCACTGCTGCAGTCGGACATAATATATGTTCAGCAGCAAGGGTTAATGATTAGCATCAGTCATTTATCTGCAAGTTCCAAAGATGTACGAGTCCCCAGTGATGCTGAAAAGTGGAGGCCTGATGGGGTTGCTAGTATTCTGGCCAATATATTTCTGTGATGTTGACTTTTTTCAATGAATAACTTATAAAAACTGTCTCATCAGGGTGATAGAACAGATCACTCATGAACTCTCATGGATTCTGCCTTATGGAATGATTGGTTAATAGTCATTGAACATAAACTTTCAAATTTTTCTGTAACTATTTAATCAGTCTCATAATCTGAAAGATTCTGCATTTAAAAAAATTGTATATATGTTGGAACAAATTATAATAAGAAATGACATGATTGCTCTAATATGTAACTTAGTTTGGGTCTAGCTTGATTCAGAAAATATGTTGATTTCTAGACCAAAAGTTTTAGAATATAGGTTTGAATATAGTTTTATAACACGGTTAAAATTCTTAACTAGCTATTTTAGTTTGGTTGGTGGTTCATTTAAAAAGTTGTGTTTCAGGCTGGGCGTGGTGGCTCACGCCTGTAATCCCAGCACTTTGGGAGGCCAAGGAGGGCAGATCACGAGGTCAGGAGATTGAGACCATCCTGGCTAACACGGTGAAACCTCGTCTCTACTAAAAATACAAAAACAAAAAATCAGCCAGGTGTGGTGGCGGGAGTCTGTAGTCCCAGCTACTCAGGAGGCTGAGGCAGGAGAAGAGTGTGAACCCGGGAGGCGGAGCTTGCAGTGAGCCGAGATCATGCCACTGCACTCCAGCCTGGGAGACAGAGCGAGACTCTATCTCAAAAAAAAAAAAGTTGTCACTCAATAAAAAAGCATGTTTGGTATTTGCCTAAGCCTCTCAATTCTAGTGGGTGTTTTGCTAGAATTTTGTAGGTGGCAAGGGGCATATTAAATCACAAACAATACTAATGCTTAGTTTTCGTATATTTTAAAACAAAGAAAAACTCTTGATAATCATTGAGCAGATATTATAATACAGAAATTAAGAAAAATTTATAGTTATGAAATGTAAATTTGGAACAAGAAGACATTTCTGCAGGAGTCCAGTCTCCTAAGCTGTGTGTTTATCTCATTTTTAAAGCAATTAACCTTGGTAAATTATTACTTTATCTTATGTTTTGAGATATATATGTAATATATATTTTTTACTAAGGTCCCTCTTCCTTTTTCAAATACTAATATGTTTAACAGTTCCTCTTGCAAAACACTTTTTTTTTTATCATTTGGTTAAAGGACAAAAATTATTACTGCTAAAGTGGTTTGAGTAGATTGTAACTCTAAAATATTCAAATAATCTCCTTAATATTTATATTGAGGTTTTAAACACAAACTCATGACTTACCACAAACATTACTTCCCATTTTGACATGGGCATAACCATCTACTCCCCAAGAACTTCCCCAGGAATTCCGCACAATCCAATATGGAGTGCTTCCTACAGTGAAACATAAATAGTAACAAATCCTGAAAACTCAAATTTGTTATGAATGTTTAAGTTTCTTTATTTTAAGTTGGATTCTTGCTAAGGATAGTAGCTCTGAGAAGAAGATTAAAAATGTAATTTAATGGTAACTTAAACTACTTTATTTTAACTAAGTAAACCTGAGCAGTACTTACGGACACTCTCCAATCAGTAGAAATATATGTTTGAATTCACTTCCCTTTATACAGGGACTGCATAAAATGAAAACAAACACTAATTTCCAAGGAATCAGAAAAAGAAAAAAGAACTTTTAGATACGTATGATAAAATAATATGCACTTACCTTTTCCCAACAATTATTCTAAATGTTCCCGATACAGTTTTATATCAACAAAAATTATCATCATTTTAACAGGATATCCACTCAAAAATTGACAGGTGGAATCTGACAAGACATTTACATTGGGAACAGGCCCCCCAAATCCGGCCATAAACTGGTCCCAAAACTGGCCATAAGCAAAATCTCTGCAGCACTGTGACATGTTCGTGATGGCCATGACGCCCACGCTGGAAGGTTGTGGGTTTACCGGAATTAGGGCAAGGAACACCTGGCCGAACCCTGGGCAGAAAACTGCTTAAAGGCGTTCTTAAGCCACAAACAATAACATCAGCAATCTTGTGCCTTAAGGACATGCTCCTGCTGCAGACAACTAGTCAGACCTATCCCTTTATTTCGGCCCATCCCTTTATTTCCCATAAGGAATACTTTTAGTCAATCTATAATCTATAGAAACAATGCTTATCCCTGGCTTGCTGTCAATAAATATGTGGGTAAAGCTCTGTTCGGGGCTCTCAGCTCTGAAGGCTGTGAGACCCCTGATTTCCCACTCCACACTCTATATTTCTGTGTGTGTGTCTTTAATTCCTCTAGCGCCGCTGGGTTAGGGTCTCCACAACTGAGCTGGTCTCGGCACATTTACTCCTATAAGATTGTTGAGAAGTTGTGAAGGTCTTATGAGGACTTAATCATAGCAGAACCAAATTTCAATGTTCTACAGTATGGTGATCATTTTGCACTCAGTGTCCATGCTGGAAAGCAGTCAACTGAGTCTTATCAGCACTTACCTGTTTTATCAAACCCAGTTATGAGAACTGCATGATTTGCTTCTCCACTAGAGCAGTGATGCTGTATAATGCCTCCCAGATAATCTTGCCAGCTCACTGCATCTACTATGACTACCAAAGGGCCAAAGGTAAGAAGTGCTTTTGCCATTTCATCTTCTTGGTCACTACCAAAAGAGGAAATATTTGGTTAGAAAATTTAGTTTTTAAGGTAAAAATAACAATGATCTATATAATCTGTGTATGATTCTGAGTAGGTTTGGTTGCAGTTACAAAGGACCTAAACAATGGAAGCTAAGTCTGAGAGACTGGTAGTCTATGGCTGGGATAGGGTTTCAGGATATCAGGAACCCAAGCTCTTTCTCTATCATTGTCCTGCTATTCAAAGGTTTCCATTTTCAGGGTCCATTCATGGTCCAAGATGGTTGCTGGGACTCCAGCCATTTAACACATATTTAAGACAGCAGGAAGTAGAAAGCAGAAGTGATACATCTCTGTTGAGAAGACTTCCCAGAAATAACCCGCAACACTTCCACATATATCTTCACGGATCTCATTGGCCAGAACTCAGTCATATGGCTAAGTCTAGCTTAAAGGAAGATGGGGAATGAGTTCTGTAGCTGGCTGGAAAATTAGTTAAGACATAGGGCTTCTTTTATTAAGGAAAGTGGAAAGACTAGATATTTGGCGATACCTTGCCATCTCTGCCACACCATGAGAATCAAGAGACTAACTCATGTTAGTCATTGTCAAATATAGAAATTATAGGGAAGGGCTACTCAAAAGTGGCTAATATAATTATACAATAGAAGCAATGTTAAGCAAATATTTTAAAAAGAGAAGAAATGTTAGGATGCCCGGAGAACTAGGTGTTCAACTGTGAAGACTGCAAAATACACAATTATTGTTTTCACACATGGACATAAAGTCTCATATTATACAACATTTGTCCTTCATTGATCTTACAAGTGAGTGATCAAATCATTATTTACACTTTTCAAAGGTCAGCTTTGTGGGTGAAGGATACTGAAACCAAGTTCCTAATAGTTCAAACTATTAAGATAACATTTGATAGTTTACTGCTATAGCAAGCCATGGGTGGATTAGTGGTAATAATCCACTAATAAGTAAGTAAATAATCTTTCATGACGACCAGCTGGAGACCAGTTTCTAGAGAGGGAATATTTTGTCCACAGAGGAGCAAAAAGTTGACTGCATAATAATGGAATTGATTGAAATAGAAACTATATATTCATTTTATACATTTATTCATGTTAACTATTAACATGAATATCTGCTTTTTGAGATCTATAAGTAGATATTTCTAATTTTTGCTACTGTAAAACAGTTCATATTAACTAAGATTATCCTGAGACAGGCAAAATTGTAAAATTTTTAAAAGGCATCATGATAGGTTATAGGTTTTTAATTGTCCCACACCTGGGTTCAAATTCCAACTATACACTGCAGCCATTCAACCTACCATGCAGAATCAATACAAGGATAAAATTATGGCATACAATTTTGCAAGACATAAATTATGTAGCATGCCCAGCACATAAGTTTTACTCCAAGTTTACAATAAGGATTATTTATTTCCCTCATTTCTAACTTATCTAATAACTAATTGTGTTCCCCATAGGATTTAGTGTATAAAGTATATCTTATTGTATCAAAATTCTTAGCATAGTTCATGATTTAAACATGATATATATAATAATCTTTCTATCAACCAGAACACAGCCGTCTCCATCAATTGAAGAAAACAAAGGATTACTGGAAGTTCATCTCATCAAAGATCCAGTTTCAGGGATACCAGGAGAAAAGCAGAAAGATCAAGAAGAAGGAATATTTTTAGAATGCAAAGGGTAACTGACATTGCAGAATCAAAGAAACAATTTAGTAATAATCCCTGATTTGGGCCAGAGCTGAAAAAAGATATCAAAGATTAGAAGTAAGAAATAGAAGGACAAGCCTCAGTCATAAGCAGAGGCAAATGTTCCATTTGGCCCCAGAATTGAGTGGCATTGCTATCATTTGTCTTTCAGAAAGATGTCAGCTTTTAGAGAGTTCAAATAATGCTCCAGACAGCATTTTAATTTCCATTATTAACCCAATATAGAACTACTATCAACATGTACATTGTTATAATGGCTTTATTATCAAACATTGATTCCATGAGCTTACTATTCATTTCACAGATTAATAATTTCCAAAACCTACAGTTTTGGAAATAATAATTCGTTATTATTATAACGAATTATTATTATAATTATTATTAATCATTGATTAATGAATTATAATTATTATTCATTATTATTATAATGAATGGAATAATAATAATAGTTCAAATAATTTTCCTAAATTTTATTGTCATCAAGATGCGGCGATGAAGGCAAGTCTGACCTGTTACTGATGCTTCATAATGTGGATTTTCATCTCATCTTCCCTAGAATTCAGTGTGTTATACTGTGTCTGAATTTTTCTGACTACTGTTATATGTAGTAGGTTCCTACAGTTTTTGTTTATTTACATAGTCATTCTCATATTGTAGTTTGAGTCCTGAAATTTCTGGGGTCTGATAAACAAAAATTCATGAAGAACCCTGGGTGGGAATGGTCATTTTGCTTTAAAATTAGGTTATGTTTTTATATTTTAGATGATTTTTTTCCCTTCTTAGATGCTTTCAGGTTCTGTACAATGTTTTAAGGAGCGTTTGGCTGAAAACCTAAGACCACATGACGTTACCAATAGTGTTGGGAGTAAAAGCACAAGCTTTGGAGTTGAACAGATATGAGTTCTAATCCGACTCCACAGTTTACTAGCTATATGGCTCTCCCTGAGTCTCAGGCATCCACCATACATGGAAATAATATTATTGAAGTACAAAGGACCAGGTCTTGTGCCCAGTTATAGCAAATGCTTTGGAAGACCTTCACACATCCTAAGGCTGTCACCACTGCAATGCACACTCACCCAACTTGCAACAATGAGATCCTGCAGTTCTTTCCCTGAGCCCTTTTCCTCCTAGAGCCAGGAAAGCAAGCCCAGTCCCCATTTCCATCCCCAGATGCACCCTCAACTAATGAATCAGGGAAGACGACAATCACCAACTTGGATGGGATGGCACTGAAGTGTACATTTTACCCTGGCTGCCAGAGTTCCCCAGCAGGACTAAGCATGAGGTTAGCCACAGCACTAACTGGTTTAATCAAGAAACCCTGCTGCCCCGGTTCTCTCATTTCCCCACCCCATTACCAGTCTTTCCTGGGATCACTTCCTAGGTGTTCCAACTGAACTCTTACTGTTTCCTTCTAAATCTGTTCCTGTCTTAGACTTTCAAGTTTCATTAATGGTAATTCTATTTTTCAGTCATTGAGATCAAAAGGCCGGGAATCCTCCTAGACTCTCTTCTCTCTTATCTCCTCTCCAATAAAAAACTGTGTAGGGCTTTACCCTCTGTGAGGGGTATTAATCTATACATACCCCTCATCTCTCATCTCCAAGGCCATTCTCCTAACACCCTGCTCTAAGGCCACTGCTTGGTGACTGAGATGGTTTGGCTGTGTCCCCATCCAAGTCTCAAATTGAATTGTATCTCCCAGAATTCCCATGTGTTGTGGGAGGAACCCAGGGGGAGGTAATTGAATCATGGGGGCCAGTCTTTCCAGTGCTATTCTTGTGATAGTGAATAAGTCTCATGAGATCTGATGATTTTATCAGGGGTTTCCACTTCTCCTTCTTCCTCAATTTCTCTTGCCGCCACCATGTAAGAAGTGCCTTTCTCCTCCCGCCATGATTCTGAGGCCTCCCTAGCCATGTGGAACTGTAAGTCCAATTAAACCTTTCTCTTCCCAGTCTCGGGTATGTCTTTATCAGCAGCATGAAAATGGACTCATAGTAAATTGGTACTAGTAGATTGGGGCACTGCTGAAAAGATACCTGAAAATGTGGAAGTGACTTTGGAACTGGGTAATAGGCAGACAGTTGGAACAGTTTCAAGGGCTCAGAAGAAGAAAGGAAAATGTGGGAAAGTTTGGAACTTCCTAGAGACTTGTCGAATGGCTTTCACCAAAATGCCAATAGTGATATGAACAATAATTAGGTCCAGGCTGAGGTGGTTTCAGATGGAGATGAGAAACTTGTGGGAAATGGAGCAAAGGTGACTCTTGTTATGTTTTAGCAACCAGACTGGCAGCATTTTGCCACTGCCCTAGAGATTTGTGGAACTTTGAACTTGAGAGAGATGATTTAGGGTATCTGGCGGAAGAAATTTCTAAGCAGCAAAGCATTCAAAAGGTGACTTGGGTGCTGTTAAAAGCATTCCATTTTAAAAGGGAAAACAGAGCATAAAAGTTCAGAAAATTTGCAGCCTGATGATGCAGTAGAAAAGAAAAACCCATTTTTTGAGGAGACATTGAAGCCAGCTGCAGAAATTTGCGTAAGTAGCAAGGAGCCTAATGTTAATCCCCAACACCATGGGGAAAATGTCTTCAGGTTATGTCAGACACCTTCACGGCAGCCCCTCCCATCACAGGCTCGGAGGCCCAGAAGGAAAAAGTGGTTTTGTGGGATAGGCCCAGGGTCCTTGTGCTGTGTGCAGCCTAGGGACTTAGTGCCCTGTGTCTCAGATGCTCCAGCCATGGCTCAAAGGGGCCAACATAGAGCTCAGGCTGTGGCCTTGGCAGCTTCCATTTGGGGTTGAGCCTGCGGGTACATAGAAGACAAGAATTGAGATTGGGGAACCTCCACCTAGATTTCAGAAGATGTATGGAGATGCCTGGATGCCCAGGCAAAAGTTTGCTGCAGGAGCAGGGCCCTCATGGAAAACCTCTGCTAGCGCAGTGCAGAAGAAAAATGTGGGGTTGGAGGCTCCACACAGAGTCCCACAGGAGCTGCGAGAAGAGGGCCACTGTCCTCCAGACCCCAGAATGGTAGATCCACTGACAGCTTGCACTATGCACCTGGAAAAGCCACAGACACTCAATGCCAGACCGTGAAAGCAGCCAGGAGGGAGGCTGTACCCTGCAAAGCACAGAGGCAGAGGTGCTCAAGACCATTAGAACCCACATCTTGCATCAGCATGACTTGGATGTGAGATCTGGAGTCAAAGGAGATCACTCTGGAACTTTAAAATTTGACTGCCTGCTGGATTTTGGAGTTCCATGGGCCCTCTAACTCCTTTGTTTTGGCCAATTTCTCCCATTTGGAATGGCCGTATTTACCCAATACCTGTATCCCTACTGCATCTAGGAAGTAATTAGCTTGCTTTTGATTTTACAGGCTCATAGGCGGAAGGGAGTTGCCTTCTCTCAGATGAGACTTTGGACTGTGGACTTTCGGGTTAATGCTGAAATGAGTTAAGACTTTGGGGGACTGTTGGCAAGGCATGATTGGTTTTGAAATGTGAAGACATGAGATTTGGAGGGGCCAGGGATGGAATGATATGGTTTGGGTGTGTCCCCACCGAAGTCTCAACTTGAATTGTATCTCCCAGAATTCCCACATGTTGTGGAGGGACCCAGGGGGAGGTAATTGAATTCATGGGGGCTGGTCTTTCCCATGCTATTCTTGTGATAGTGAATAAGTCTCACAAGATCTGATGGGTTTATCGGGGGTTACGCTTTTGCTTCTTCCTCATTTTCTCTTGCTGCCGCCACGTAAGTAGTGCCTTTTACCTCCTGCCGTGATTCTGAAGCCTCCTCAGCCATGTGGAACTGTAAGTCCAATTAAACCTCTTTTTCTTTCCAGTCTTGGGTATGTCTTTATCAGCAGCACGAAAGCAGACTAATACAGGGACAGTATGACCTCATCTCCTACTAGTCTTGTCTTTCTTCTCCACACTACAGCCACAGTGGCTTCATCATTGTTCTAACATGCCAGACATGTTTTTGCCTCACGATCTTTGCATTTACAGCCTCTCTGCTTGGAACCATGTTCCCCCACATATCTGCGTGGTTAAGTCCACGCACTTCTCCAAGTCTTCACTTGAACATAACCTTTTCAGTGAGTGAGGCCCTGCCAGGCAACCCTTTCTCAAATTGTACACTCCCCCTACTACCAGATCGTTTCTCTTCCTCCCACTGTTTTCATTTGTTCTCTTTGTTAATTATTACAGCCAATATGCCACATGTATTTTTATTTTTTGTGACTGTCTGTCTCAATTACTAATGAGGGCAAGGTTTTTGTCTGTTTTGTTCTCTGCCAAATCCCCAGAACTTAAAAAAAAGTCAGTAAATATTTGAATGAATAAATAAATCAAAGAAAGATCTTCTTGCAGTCAAATGCTATCAGTTTAGCATTGCACTGTTAGAGTTTAATCTTCAATATAAACAAGATATTTTGATTGGGACCTCTTCCTTCCTAATCAAAGGCCCAATGCCAACAACTCCTGCATTCTCTCTTTCCCTTAATTCAGACTAATGCCTATTATTCTTTTGCTTCTTCTTAATTTTTTTTTCAATTTCCTACCATGATAAGGGATTCCCTTAATCCCTTTTAATGATATTTTGTAAATCTAGTTTTTTCTTGTACACATCCTTCCCTTATACTCTCAAGGAAGTCAGAGTTTATAGGGCATACTTTCTGATTTTAGAAAGCACATTACCTTTATCCCCAAATGAGATGTTGACCACGGTACTCAGTGACCCTGCACATTTTATTATAAATCCTACATGGTCTGCCAGCTGTGGAATTAAGGCTGTCTGGTGTATGGTTCCTGGTGTCACCCTGAGGACCCTTGTTGCAGACCGGAGCTGTGTTGACAACCTGACAGTTCTCTGGCACACTTATGCTCATTTAAACGGGTACATTTTGTTCAAGGACGCAATTTCACCCTTGATTTCTTTCAGATCCCATGGGTAGATACCATCTGGATCAAGGGATTATTTTATATTCAGGACCACTAAGTCATAGGGGATTCTGTTACCTTATCCAAATTTAATTTAGTTCCTGTTTTCTCTGTTTCAAAAGACTGCAAAGTTCCCATCATATATTTTCTTAATGAAGCCAGGAGTTGGTTGGGTCTCCCTTTGTCCTTTTCACCCATGAACACCTATTTTGCACTCTATCAAATGGTCATGATGAGTCTCCAGCCAGCTCTGTGTTTTTCATGTGTTTTTAAAGCATTTTTAATGATTGTTTTCCCCAAAACTATCCAAAGTTATCCTGCCCTTCAGTTCCAACACAAGTCCTTTTCCTCAGCCTGTCTTTATCTATCCCTACATTCCCATCATGCTTATAGTGTATGCTACATAATTTATCTTCAGTAGTATATGCTTCCCTCTTTTCTCTAATCTGAAGTTTTGTGTTATATTTTTCAAATGGCTGATGTCTTGAAAAATGCAAAGAACATAGAAGGTGTTCAAAATATGCTTCCTGATATGTAGCCTACGTGATATTAGCTGCACAGTCTGTACAAAGCAATTCTGGATGGACTCACCATTAAGATTGAAATATGCTAATGGTAATATAACACCTAAATTTGATAAGATGAAGGTGGTATATATAAATATAAATTATGCACTAATAATTTGTAAGTATAATAAAATATAAAATATAACAAATAAATATACATATAAATTGTACCTTACACAGAATTAAAATTTTTCATTTCTATCGTAATGACACTTGGGAAAATAAGTAGATTATAATTAAGAAACAACATTTACAACATTTCATTGTAATTGCTACTCTTTCTAGTAAAAAGTATGTTTTACAAGGATTAAGAGTATGCAGTGATGCCTTCAAACAAATTATTAACCAGTCAATAGATCATAAATTAAAAATGTATAAAGAAAAACATAATACAATAAGATCTTTACCTGAAGTCATATGCAGAATAACCTTTGATTGAAAATCCAGAATGTGAACCAGAAAAGTAATGGCACAGACCATTTTGTGCTTTAAAAGGATATTCTGAATCTTTCACCAGTTTTACTTGCATCTAAAAGAAAACAATCACTGAACATGTTTACTGTCAATTGTTTTATAAATCAAATAGAACTTACTTCACTGTGTCAAAACAGGTTCAATTTCACACACCTTCATCATGTGGATATACTTTGCGTTCTTTTTTTTTTCTTTTTCTTTTTTGAGACAGAGTTTTGTTTGGTTGCTCAGGCTGGAGTGCAGTGGCTCGATCTCGTCTCACTGCAATCTCCACCTCCTGGGCACCAGTGATCATCCCACCTCCGTCTCCCCAGTAGCTGTGACTACAGGTATGAGCCACCACGCCAGGCTAATTTTTTGTATTTTTTGTAAAGATGGGGTCTCACTCTGTTGCCCAGGCTGGTCTTAAACTCCTGGACTCAAGAAATCCACCTGCCTTGGCTTCCCAAAATACTGGGATTACAGGTGTGAGGCATTGTGCCCAGCCTATACTTTGGGTTTTTAATATTATAAATTAAATCTTTAGGTGCTTGTTCTGGATAGTCTAGACATTTGGAGTCAATATCTTTCCTTCTCCCTTACTTCTCTTTATCTTACAGCATCCTTTTGTAGATCCTCCATGGATCTAGTAACAGTCTTGTCATCTTTCTCCTGACGGTGCTATAGGGCAGCTCACTTTCCTCCCAGTGCTTCTGGTTCTGCCAAGTCTTTCAGATTCCATCCAGTGGTTTATACACAGGCAACGGTTAGGTCAAGCATTCTTTCTATCACTTCACTTTTATGCCATTCATATAGCATATGTCAAATACTTCATAGTTATCTGTACAAAACCCTCCCTTTTTGAATGCTAGGCTAATGAAAGGGAGGAGACTCATAATTCATTGTCGTCTACAGTGTGTACAGAGCAGGTCCTGGAATACGTGATTAAAAATGCAACCAATGGATAATGGAAGAGAATTCAGGTTTGGGGAACTCTGGTTTGATGACGTTCTACAGAAACTAATAGCACCCTCATTGGCAAATTTCATGCAGTTGATATCGGATCTGGGACACTGTCAGGGCAAGTGCTAAGAACGCTGAGGGACACTGGGGTATACTGAGCAAAGCCCTACTGTGAGAGGCTGGGGACTGAAGGTACAACTCCGGCTCAGCTACTGACTTGACAAAATGATCTCACTTCTCAGGCTTCATTTCTTCATCTATAAAAAGAGCTACAGGCTGGGTGTGGTGGCTCATGTCTGTAATCCCAGCACTTTGGGAGGCTGAGGCGGGTGGATCACAAGGTCAGGAGATCGAGATCAGCCTGGCCAATATGGTGAAACCATGTCTTTACTAAAAAAACAAAAACAAAAAACAAAAAACAAAAAAAACAAAAAAATTAGCCAAGTGTGGTGGTGGGCACCTATAGTTCCCAGCTACTCCGGAGGCTGAAGCAGCAGAAACACTTGAACCCGGGAGGTGGAGGTTGCAGTGAGCCAAGATTGTGCCACTGTACTCCAGCCTGGGTGACAGAGTGAGACTCTGTCTCAAAAACAACAACAACAAAAAAGAGCTAAAAAATTAGTCTCTAATGTTCCTTTTAACCTTAACATTCAGAAATTCTATGAAAATAAAAAAAATATATTCTCATCTTTCCGGGATATTATGAGATATTCAGATCTGCAAAAAAGCATGTATATATTAAGAAATGTTAAGAAATAAATATAAATATTTCTCTGAAGACAGACTTCAGATTTTTCCCCTTTTGATTTCTTGACAACTGCTTTGCCTAGAAGTGATTCATTTTTAAATATTCTGATTAATTACTTCATGCTTTGATCATCTACATTTCCGAACGTGGAAACATTATTTAATATATGTGAACAAACTGTTTGAATTTTGAACACACAGTAAACAAGCAAAAAAGGAAATAAAGAGTTTAAGAGGTTGAGAGACTAGTCACCTTGTTTAACCAGTTCAAAGCATTGAGAGTAGAGCCTCCATTGCAGCCATAATTATTATACGAACAGTCAATGACCTGCTGGACACTTAGGTCTTCCAGGGGCTTCCCCTTTATTGCATAAGCAGATTCCACTGCCCCCACCACGCTGAAGGCCCAGCATCCTCCACACTGTTTAAAAACAGAAAAAGGGGTGGTATTTCCAGGGTTTAAATCAACTTACCAACATCTCTAAATGTAACAAGTTATCAAATCAAGTAAGGCTTCCAGATTCTGGAAACCTACAAAATAAATACGCCTATCCTCTAGATTTTTAAACTGAAAAAAAGAGAAAACCAAAAGTCTCTTTTGAGCATCATTTAATTATTAGTTCATGTTGTCAGCATTATTACTATTCTAAATTTGGCAATGCAAGATAAAAGTGAATTTTTAGAGACCGAGGAAATACTTGGGCTAACTGATGATCTTCTAAAAGACCATTCAGTTCACTGAATATGTGACTTCTCTTTGTAAGTGGCTTTTCTTCTGGAGAGTGTGTGCCGACTCCCGCCCCAACCTTCCATCCCCCTTGCTTTTTTAAGGACACTCTGCTTCCATGGTCATACACCACTTCCATCCTAAGGGTGAGGAGGGGAAAGATGCATGTTGTGCTAATTATTTGATGGAGATAAGAGAATTAATAAATATTAATGAATTACTCTTTAGGCTATAAAGATGCCCGATTAAGTATGCTTATAGTGGATGTACATGAAATGTCCTAAGGATATAAATCCATATTAGTCATTACTCCAGTATTGGCTGCCAATCATGCTGATAGTGGATCTCTTAATTTGCTTTTACTTAACAAACTAGAACAAAAGAATAAAAGAACTAGTCCTGAAAGAAAGAGAGGAGACAGAGGGAATGAAATTAGGGATCGTAGGATCACGTAAAAGGAAGAAGGATCCACAGAAAAGGCAGAAGAGAGTAGGATTTGAGACTGGATGAAACTAACATAACTGGAGGGCCATGTGTGGCAGAGTTAGACCAAAAAAAAAAAGGAATGACAATTGGATATCTTTGCAGAGTTAAGTTTTGAGCAACTTTATGGCTTTAAGTGCTTTTTTAAAGGTTATATCTCTATCTCTAGTGCCTATGGCATAGTAAAAACACTCACTAAGTGACCATACAGCAGGGTCTCCAAACTTTGACAAAGGTGAACACAGGGCAGCTCATGCCTGTAATCCCAGCACTTTGGGAGGCCAAGGCAGGCGGATCATGAGGTCAGGAGTTCAAGACCAGCCTGACCAACATGGTGAAACCCCGTTTCTACTAAAAATACAAAAATTAGCCAGGCATGGTGGTGCGCACCTGTAATCCCAGCTACTAAGGAGGCTGAGGCAGGAGAATCTCTTGAACCTGGGAGGTGGAGGTTGCAGTGAGCCGAGATCGCATCACTGCACTCCAGCCTGGGTGACAGAGTGAGACTCCGTCTCAAAAAAAAAAAAGAGAAAAGGTAACAGGCTGCTGACATCACCCCTATAGCCAGCTTTAGTCAAGCCACAAGGGCAGTTCCTGCTTAAAAAAAAAAAAAAGTCTCTCATACATTCCTTTAATTAAAGATCTCTAATTAAAAGTTCCCTCTTCAATACACTGTGGACAATTTTTGAAAGGATTAGATTTATGTCTAATTGACATGTTATTACAAATCCAATAATAAAGCAAATGATTTGGTGGTAAAACTTAATGTACAAAAATAAATATAGACTCTGAGAAGCAAAAATCATTCTAACTACACATTGACTGCGAAACAGCTGGCACCAAAACACTTTCCATAAAAGGGAAGGCTGAATGATCTGTTGAGGTTTCCACTGCAGACAAACTGAGACTATCCCCTCTGGTTAGGGGTTTGACTTTGCCTGTTTGGCAGGCATTCCCTATGCCAACAGTTGGGAGTGTAGACGGGTAGGGAAGGTCAGCAAAGTATGCACACACCCCTCAAACGTCTGCCAGCTAGGTGGGTTCACTACATGCATTATAGGTCATACCCACCCACATCTGCTCTTACCACTTTCCTTCCTAGTTCAAAGGCACCTCCTTCCACCACTTCAGAATAACTCACAAGCTGCTGCCCTGCCAACTCCCATGTCCTCAGCACACTTTGAGTCTCTTTTCAAGGTAAATTGCTATATTTATTGCAGTACTTACATATTTCTTAATCAGTAAACATGTGTAAAACTGTGCTACTGTGTCTATTAGTTTTCTGTCTTTTAAAACATATGTCATTGACTAAGCTCGTAGGTAGTGTAACCTAACCTCATTTCTCCCATAATCCCTGTCATGCTACTGCTCAATTCTGCATAGGTGGTGATTTTCTGGAATGTATGCGTCACGTTATGGCTGAACTGACTACTAACTATACTTTTAAGGCCCACAGATTCAAAGGTATATGATCCTGTGAAGACGGGGGCAGATTTTCTGACAGAGCTTGCAAGATGAGGCTTGAGAACCCAGGAGATTCGGCCACACTGTTGGTAAATGTATCCATTTTCATTTTACTTTTTCACTTTTTTTTTCTTGAACCATTTAAGCCTTTAGTGCTCATGTTTACCTTCTCCAGCCTCTCATCTGCTATTGTACAGAAAGCTTGGTATCTGTGATACAGCTACTGGGAAGTATCCCTGAGCTGTTATTACAGCTACTGGGAAGTATCCCTGAGTTATTGTGTTGGTGGCAATGGCAATTAGTAAGAGTACACAGCAAGGAAGGTTTATCTTCAGAAATAAAAGTCAGGGCTTTGACATTTGACTCTCATTCCTCCAGAGATTCTCTTTTCATTGTCATTTTTGGATGACTGAGATGTGATTTTCCTAGAGAAATGATGTTTCCATTACAACTTTGATTAAACTTGACCTCAAAGCTGCCTTTCAATGCTTAGATGATTAGAAAAGAAGAGGGATTTCAACGTACCATCTGCTGGTTTCTCACTTGTGTCACAACCTGCTTGTCCCTCCAGTCAAATCTTAACGGCAAAGACACATTGGGGATGGACATATGTACTTCTGCTGAGTATCTGGGAAACTTGGAAGGTTTGCTTCTTAAATAAATGGCTGAGTAGAAACATAAAATGAAAATACAACCAATATTATATTACAATATATTATATTATATATATCATATATATTTGTTATATATAAAGACAATCAATATTATATTATAGGGAGACAACCAATATTATACTAAAAGACAACCAATATTATATTATATTATATCCTTGAGATTCTTTGGGAGGAACTTTTAAAGAAGAAACAGTAGCCTTCTAGTAGACCTGCTATTTTAGATTTTCTCTTGTGCTTTTCTATAACATAAAATGCATTCATTAAAAACTACAAAAGAGAATTCCTACAATAAGGCTGGAGTTGACACATAAAATGATTTGTTTGATAGAACCAGGTCAATAATAAAAATAAGTATAATTGACATCATTTGTTCTATCATAACCCATGGAACCATGTGTGTCCTGAAGAGAAAAAGCACTAGAAAACTGCAGAAGTGATTAGACAATTATCCTTTATAGCCACATGGAAATGTGCATAATTATAACATTCATTTCTTAAGCAGTAATTAGAAGAGACTGGCCATGAATTTATTTTCTTATGTGAGCACATGGTACATGCCTGACATTTAGTAGACACTTAATAAATGTTAACTATTACTCAATATATTAGATTTACAATGAAATATTTATCAAAAGTTAAGCAAGCAAATTAAAATCAGGAAACCACCTAAATAGCAACATCGGACTATACCTTTAAACTCTTCAGGAAACAAATAGGAAAACTGATTTATTCCATAGAAGGCGGTGGAGTTTTCACTGGGAAATAAAGAATTCAAGTATCGATGTCTATTAAGACTTTCCTAGAAGAAAAACAAAAACTATTTCATATCCACTATGTCAGTTTTCCAAAGTAAACTGTGTATAACTAACTTGGAGAAATTTTTCAATTATAAAGTTAAAGCTTGATTTCCTTCAGACTACAATGTAAAGTTGTATAAGATATCCATAGGAGATTCATAAATATTTTCTATTAGAATTATTATCTAATTGCAGACATTTTTTGAGGCTGAGAAAAGTGTATTTTATTCATTTATAATTCCCCATCACCAGGTTTGTTGCAAGCATTCCATATACAGCTGTTAAAGTATTGACATAGTGGGAAAAAAGAAATAGACTGCAAATAAACACTAGATACTAGAAGCAAATTGTCACCTTTAGACATTCACTCATGTGGTTAAACAATTATGAATATGGAATATGTCCTCTTCACCTTTGTGTTTCCCGGAACTAAGTAATGAAGCATGAAAAACAGACTGGGTAAATAAATTAATAAATCAATCTGATTCTATTAAAGCTTTATAGATATCTCTATCTCATGTAGGGTACAAAGGCTCTGTGACAGATGCAATTCTGGAAATATTTGAAGAAGATAGCCTGGTTTCTCTATCTGGAGGGGAAATGTGACCATTATTTACTGATTTCTCAACTTTGAATTTTGTGACAATTTATCTTAAGCTTATCTTTTATATATAAACATGCTTCAATTTCGTAATACTAACCAATTACATAGAATAAATAAAATTTCAGGGGGCTATCATTTGGTACCTTTCCAACCCTAGCGCTTCTACATATTTGTCTATGTACTTATGTGTTTATTGTGTGTCTGTATCAAAAACCTATAAGCAAAATGATGACTGCTTATATGTCTTATTCCTTATGGTGAGACACTCACTTAGCACATGGCTGACACACAATAGATCCTTGATAAGTGTTTGTTGTTGAATAAATAGATAAGTGACATTTTCCATATCATGCCCTTAATAACTTTAAGCTGTTTATTTTTAAGTAAATTATTGCTGGAAGTTGTCATAATCTTATTTTTTTTCCTTTTGTGCATACCTAGGAAGATTGCTAATCAACAAATTAATAAAGTTTTTGAGGTACTTTAAAATAATCTTGATGAAGCAAGGCTTTCAATATAACCTGGATATATAAATGTAAAAATAGAACTAGAATACAAGGTAATTCTGTATATGGCAAATGACAAATATAAGCCAGAGACTATTAACTGCTAAGGAATTCAGAGGATTCATTCATTCAATAAGTACTGCCTGGCCATCTTTGTGAGCTGGAGTAGTCAGGAAGGCACTGAAAATGTAGGATGTTAAGAATGCACAGGAGAGAATGTGGCAGCCATGAGAATGTGCCTCCCAGCCTTCTTTCTATAGGGAGTTTAGCTGCTGCTAGTTGAAATCTCCATGATCACACCAAGGGAAGCCACAGTTCTTACGGGCTGCACCTAGCTCATGACTTAGTGCTAAGGCTTGCTATTTGGGAGACAAATGGGACTCCCCTGACAGCTGGTTTTTGATTAATGACTCCCTGATGGCCTTGCCAAACCAAAGTTTCCTTGGACTGTGAGACAGCATGGAACTCTTCCCCAGTCTTCCTTCCTTTTTTCCTTCACTCAGGGTCAGAATTACATTGCAATCAGATAGCTCTACCTGGACCTCTCCCTATTAGTTCACAGGAATTGCTCCTGTGATTGATTAAAAAAAAAAAAAAAAAAAGCCTGGGAGCAGTGGCTCACACCTGTCATCCCAGCACTTTGGGAGGCTGAGGTCGGTGGATCATCTGAGGTCAGGAGTTCGAGACCAGCCTCGCCAACATGGTGAAAGCCTGTCTCTACTAAAAATACAAAAATTAGCCGGGCGTGGTGGTGGGCGCCTATAATCCCAGCTACTCAGGGGGCTGAGGCAGGAGAATCGCTTGAACCTGGAAGGCGGAGGTTGCAGTGAGCCGAGATCACAGCACTGCACTCCAGCCTGGACGACAGAGCGAGCCTCCAACTCAAAAAAATAAATAAATAAATAAAAAATAAGAAAAGAATGAGAAGACATGAATAACCAATTTACCAATATTAGGAATGAAAGAAGAGCCATGATTACAGATGCTTCAGGCATTAGAAGAATAATATTTTGACAACTTTATGACAATAAATTGGCAAACTGTACAAAATGGACAAACTTTTTGCAAGGCACAGATTGCCAAAGATGAAAGGAGAAATAGAAAACTTGAGCAGCCTTTTATCAGCTAAAGGCATTAAATTTGTAAGTGAAAACTGACTCACAAAGAAAACTTCAGGCCCAGGTGGCTTTTTGGTGAACTTTATACAATGAAGAAAGAAGTAATACCAATATTATCCTTTGAGAAAATCAAGAAGAAGGGAATACGCTGCAACTTAAATAAGACCAGTGTTACCCTGATTCTAAACCAGAAAAATGTATCTAAATAAAATAGAACTACATACCAGTATCCCTCATAAATACGCTGTAGACACAAAATCCTTAACAAAATAGCAAATCAAATCTAACAATATATGTTAAGGACAATATATTGTGACCAAGTGAAGTTTATTTAGAAATGCTAGGTTGGTTTAAAATTTCAAAATCAATCATCAGTACGATACACCATATTAACAGAACAAAAAAGGAATATACCACACACACACCACACCACACCAAATGCGCACACACACACATACGCACGCACATGAGGTATAGACTGGTACGCCCTTTCAAGATCCTTAAAATTACACAAATTGTTTAATTAAGAAAATCTAATTCTAGGAATGGATTTTAGACTCTTGAGTGTAGGCAATGCTGTACGTGTGGGTTCTACACGTGTGTCTGGGAGGGGAGGCAGTAGTTGAGCCACATACTCTATTTAGTTGGAGAGCTAATGCAAGTTTATCTCACTAGATCATTTGTGACATCTACGAGAGAAACAATATATTGCCACTCAAGTTGGCAAATGCCAGATGAAACAAACTTATACATCGTTGGCAGGGAGTTCCCATGTACTTCTCTTAATTTTTGTGTTGCCTTATAAGTGTCATTTCACCATCCAAAGTTTAGGTGTTCCGGTTGTGAAGTAGTTATAATAACACCAATTTAATAATGAAATAAATGAATGTATTATTTATTTATTTTAAATATTTATGTCCCTAATTTTCAATGATGATTCCAATAACAGTTACTTGGTTTTGGTCTTGTGCCATGTGTTTGAAAAGACAAATATCTCCACATATATTTTCTATTTGTTACCACTTGATACACTGTTCTTTATGTCAGCGGCACTAGTGTCTGCAGGACTTCTGAAAATGTTGCTGTCTTCCACTTGTTCAACCAGGAGCCAACTTCTAAAAGAATTCCATTTGCTATTCTGGTGTAATGACTCCTGTCATTTCACAGCTCTCCATAGCCCATGTCAGGGCTACTCAATCTTTATACAAATTGTTGACTTCCTGCCAACAGCAAAATACTCTAAACCACTAAGTGCTCTGCTTCGTCCTCTCCCTACCACTAATCTCTACCCACTTGTTTTGATTTTGCAAAACCATTAATAACATTAAAAGTACTTCCTTGGAGGCTTCTGAACACAGCGTAATAATAATAATTATTATTATTTTGAGGCGGATTCTCGCTCTGTCGCCCAGGCGAGTGCAGTGGCGTGATCTCAGCTCACTGCAAGCTCCGCCTCCCGGGTTCACCCCATTCTCCTGCCTCAGCCTCCCGAGTAGCTGGGACTACGGGCACCCGCCACAATGCCCGGCTAATTTTTTTTGTATTTTTTTTAGTAGAGATGAGGTTTCACCGTGTTAGCCAGGATGGTCTCAATCTCCTGACCTCGTGGTCTGCCCGCCTCAGCCTCTCAGAGTGCTGGGATCACAGGCATGAGCCACTGCGCCTGGCCTCTTTTTAACTTTGCAACAATTTGAAATGTCTTACCATTGCTGTGCAATTTTTGGCTATATAATCAACCTCTCTGAGCTTTATTTCCATCAACAAATGGAGTAATACTGATCTGGAAGAATGTAAGGATGAAATAAAATAATAATTGGAAAACACTTATTACAGAGACTGGCAAAATAAATGCTCAGTTAAAATACTCTCATCCTCTATCTTCCTTTTCCTTTAAACAGAGTATTTGGATTATAGAAATGGCGCTCAAAGACCATACTTTCAGATTCACTTGGAGCAAGTATTTCTCATGTCATTAGAAATGAGGATCAATATTATCTATTGAAAGCAATCTGTTGCTTTCATGGTAAAATAATACTATCAGTATATCCAAGAATATCTATTCTCTTATTTATTTATTGTCTTGTTTGCTATACACTTATCAAGTTCACTAACATGGGTTTCACATCATTTAAAATTTAAAAAGCCCTGTATTTCATTTCTTGAATTATCAATTCTTTTAAGTGACTTTTCCGGTCTCTCTTGATTCTGGCTATTAAAGATTTCATAGACGCATCACAAACTGAAGTCTGTATGAGGCCCTTGCTGCTCATTACATCCAACAACCTCCGTTAGGTAAAGGATCAGTGGGCACATGTTCTCAACAGAGGATATGATAGGGAGCAAATTTAGAGTAGCCATCTCTAAAGTCATATAAAATATTAAAGAAAAGACCTGAACCTTAACTTCATTTATGAGAGGAAAGACGTAAAGTTTTGATGAATACATAGGAAACTTCTCATTGATACTTTTGAAAAGTGCAGATGTTTAAAAATTAGATCTTACATGAGAAAAATTAGAGCTGATAAATCAGAACAGCCTTGGTGAACAGATTTGGTGAAAAATAACTACCTTCACCTTTTTTTTGTTGTTGTTGTTAAATGTGTTTAATTGAATGAGTTACAAAGGGAGATACCAGATTCCTGAACAGAAGGGTAACTCAGAACCCAAGAGATTGAAGAAATTATCCTGATTATAAAACTAGGAAAAACATGTCCCTTGGGCATTAGTACGTCTTGTGCATACTAAGTCTCTATTTATTATAGGTATAACCTCTCAAATTCATACCTAGGACCCTGTCCCTGTAAGACTCTGTCCCTAAAGCTATCCTTATTATGACTTCTAGCAGCCATCCTTCTAAGAGGTAGAATCTCTTAAAGCTGCCTTTGTGTGTGTGTGTGTGTGTGTGTGTGCACATGTGTACTGGAGGTGATCACATATTTGAACTGTGATTTAAATGTAATATGTTTCTAAGCAGTGTCTTCCATATTCTAATTTCCCGCCTGTTAGCCTAGCTAGGATGCTTCATGAGTATGCTAAAGGAGGTTGATAAGAACTGCAGAGTAGTCATGAAACATCCCAGCAAGGCCAAACAACAAACAGAGGATGGGTTCAGTCTGATCATAAAACAGGATAACTCTATTGACAAGAGACCTGAACCAGTCTCATGAGGAGGTTAGGCTGCAGTTTTAAAATTCCTCAGAAATCAACATTTTTCTTACAGGATCAGAAAGCCCTTCCAGCTATCTCAGGCATCTTGGCCCTCTTACCTTTCCAGCTGTGGGTAACCACAGTCTTAGATAATGCTCCGGCTAGGGTAAGTTAAGAGGAAAATGGTCATGTTCAAAACAATCAAAGAGTAGAAACCCAAGGAGGGTGACTTGAGGGGTTCTCAGATGTTTCCTTAATCTACTTCCCTGAGGGGAAAAATCTGTGAAATCTTTCTCACAGACTGCCACTAAGTAAGAGTAAATGAAATCATGTATTTTCTTCTTGCATGTACTCAACTGTTTCTAAAGGAGTAAGCGAATCTTTTATGAGCAAACTGTTGAGTTTTCATTTCTCTACAAGGAAAGTTCTCAGCCACTGAATGCACTAAATACAAAGGGTTGAAGGGATTGTTAAATTGAATGCAAGTATTCATTCTAAGTGTTTTACATGAATTAACTTAGCCCTGTATAAAGGTAATTGCTAACATTAGCCCTCTTCACAGAAGAATAAATCTGAGAAACAGATACATGATTTGCCTAAGATCACACAACTAGTATTTGGTGGAGGGGTATAGTTATTTAGCCTGCAAGAAATCTACTGAAGCGTTATAAACTTTAAGGGACTTCATGTCTGTTTTATCAGCTGAAAAGGCAGTGAACATCTATTATTTTTCCCCATTGATATCTAGGTTTCCTTCCACTAATGATGATTTATTTGCCTTTATCAATATACGCAATGATGTGTGTATTCCCTTACAATGAATCCCATGTATCCATGGGATAAGTTTTATATTGAAATTAACAGAGACACCTAAGGTACTTTGGAAGCTCACTTTATCTTCGGCACTTTAAACTCATTGTTTGTCTTGCAGTTCCATTACTCAGACTTTTAACAACTTTCATTTGCAGATTTTGAAGTTTCATAGGATAAATCATAAATTGTACACATAGATTTAAAATGTTCTCCTTAGGAGTGCTTTCGTTTCTGGAAATTGCAGTAAAGCTGAGGATGAGCAAAAAAGGTAAAATATTTGTATACAAAGAGCATCACTGAGAATTTCTTGGAAGACTTAGGAGTTGTAAACTTTAGATCAGTGATTCTCAACTGAGGATAATTTTGTCCCTCATTTGTCATACTGGGGATTGTCATACTGGTGGGATGCCACTGGCATCTGGTGCATAGAGCCCATGCATGCTGCTACTCACCCTACAATGAAGAGGAAGGTCCCCCACAACAAATCACTATCCATTCTCAAATGTCAATAGTGCCACTGTTGAGGAGCCTTGGATTAGAACAATAAAAGCTTTTTAAGGATACACTTTTATAAAGTACAGCTTTTGAAAAGTTTCTTAGACAAAGTATTTTCTATACAGTGTACTGAAGTGTGTGTAAACATATTGCAGATATATGTTTACTATGTATGATAAGAAATGTGTAGTCAGGATTTGTGTGAGCATGTACACAAAAAGATTGAATTAAAAATACATTCTTTTGTGAACTACTTGGGAGAATCTATTTCTCCAGTGTATAAGTCTTTACATTCTTTTTATTTACAGGAAAATGTTTATTTACAGGATACAATGCTTAAACATAACGATATTCATTTTTTGTGTACATTTCTTACAGGACAGCACGCGTCTTATTCTCCACTGTATCCCTCAGAAAACCCAGACCAGTTCTTTAGACACAGTGGAAATTAAATAAAGTATTGGATAAATGTATGGGAAGATGAATAAATTATAACCTATGATTTTAAGTTTATGATATATTTCCATTTAGTCAATGTATGCTTTAAGTGAGATTCATCAGAAAAAGTCTGCTGAACAACCTTATCTAACATCAAATTCGTGTTTTCATCTTTATATAAGGTAGAACAGGAGTCTCAAAACCCTGGGCCATGGACCAGTACTGTTCTGTGGCCTGTTAACGACCAGGCTGCACAGCAGGTGGTGAGGGGCCTGCGAGCATGCATCACCACCTGATCTCCACCTTCTGTCAGATCGGCAGCAGCATTAGATTATCATAGGAGCACAAACCCTACTGGGAACGGTGCATGTAAGGGATCTAGTTTGCACAGTCCTTATGTGAATCTAATGCTTGATGATCTGGGGTGGAACAGCTTCATTCTGAAATCATCCGCATCCTCCTCACCCCACCCCCACACCCCAGTCCGTGGAAAAATTGTCTTCCATGAAACCAATCCCTGGTGCCAAAAAGTTTGGGGACCACTGAGGTAGAAAATAGGTTTTAAAGCTTTCTTGGATAAAGCCTATTTGGAGGACCTAATTCCAGATTTCAAGGGGCTGATTACGGCAAGCACATATAAGTGGCTCATTAGTTAGGATCACTTGTTATAAAGATGCTATGGCCATCTATTTACACATAAATAAATATTCCTAAATATATAAATAATCTTATAATAATATAACCTGTGTCATTACGGCAACTGGTCTTAAGGTAAAGCTTTGGAAATTTTATGTAAAATCACATGTACTTTGGCATAGATATTATTCTAAAGTGAGTGTATCAAGCAAATTTTATTGGATCCAATATTGGGTCTGTGCCTCCCAAAAGGATAAGAATACCAAATGTTCTGTGGTAAAATAATGAGCATCAGTAAATATGAGGGCATAGCTAGGTTTTGGCACAAAGGAGAGTAGGCTAAATCCAATAGTTAAGAGCTTCCTGAGCACTGGAAGTTTCTAAAGGAGTGAAAGTGCAGAGATAAGGGGTGCCATCCAAAGTCAGGTGTCTTGTGAGGCATCCCATAATAAACCATAGTGGAGTCTAGTTTTCACTGAACAATACTATAATATTTTGTGGGAAAGTCATGGGCTAACCTAACTTTCATTTAACGTGCATTCCTGGGAAACTTACAAAACTATCTAAGGCTAAGATTAAAACAAATTTTAAAACCTTCACCATTCTCTAAACCCATGACCATGAAAGACATTACTAATTAATCAAGGACTTTCTTGAACCAGATCTTCAGCTGCAAACCCCTGAATCATCAATTCACCAATGAATTAACTTGATTTCAACAAGAAGTTTCACGGTTACCAAGGAGGCAAGGCCCTTTCCACCTTTCCCACTGTCCAGCTCTCTATCCCAAGTCCGAACAGCAATCTCCAGCTAACTAATCTAACTAATTCCTGATGATCTTAGATGAAAGACTTTCATCCCAAATCCATCCATCTCCCCCACTTCCCTCCTCCCGTCCATGGAAAAAATGTCTTCCATGAATCCGGTCCCTAGTGCCAAAAGATTGGGGACCACTAAGGTAGAAAATCGGTTTTAAAGCATTCTTGGATAAAGTCCAACTAAGCACCGAGAGGTGTTCAGTTTCCAGCAACTGTGCGTTGAAGCCTCAATGTTCTCTTTTTTGGGTATCCATCTCATGAAGCAAATTCTTACAGGCAGCAATTGCTTTGAAAATTTTTTCAGTATTTCTTAACCCGAGGTTTTTAAAATGTACTAAGAGTCTTCATAATTCGATCCTCCTCCACTTCCAACTTTCCATCTTTCAACCTGTTTCTTTGTATTTCTCCTGAGAAAAGTTACATTTTCTAGACATTCATCAGGGTATGGCCTCTTTACAGGACCAGTATGAGTCACTACATAAATTATACACATATATATTTATAAATTATCTAAAATCTAAATAAATGTTAAAAATATATTTATAAGTCTAGCCCTTTGAGCTTTGTCCTGAAATATTATTTTTAGGAGCCTGACAGTGTGTTTATTTATTTAGCCAATGAATACGTTACCAATAAAGGTGAAACTGACTTTTCCCCTAAGGGGTTTCGTTTACCAGGAAAACGAACGTAAGTTGAGGATAGGGGTAGAATACAGGCCAGAATTTTGTTCTTGAAAGAGTAAGAGGACTTCTGGTTTTGAAAGCTAGAACTGAACTCAAGAATAATAAAGTGGAGATAACAGTACACATCTCGGTTTGGACAAAACGTAAGAGTGGACAGAATCAGGGAAGGCTGGCCTTCCTAAACATTGGAGCTTTCCAGGAGAGTCGGGGGAAAAGAGCACAGCTATGAAATCCTGTGAGAAATTCCAACAAACACCAGGAAAAAAGATACACTTCCTTGAGCAATATTACTCAACTCAGACTTATGTTTGATTCAGAATGAAAGAATTTTCTTTTCCAATAAATTAAATCATGATAATGGCATCTTTCATGAATTTAAAAATGTGTTAAATAGTATCAGCTATCTAGAACATAGTGAGGCGAACACTAAATCGGCATCCCTTGCAGTTTCCTTGGTTTCAGGAAAATCATTATTTGTGCTCAGCTAACTGGTCCCTTCCAGAGTTTTCATGCTAGACTCAAATCTAAGTATTTATTATAAATATTATAAAATATAAATTATATTATATTTCGTATAATAATATGAAAAGGAAATTAAATGCTTCTCTTTTCTTCAACTCAGTCTCCGCCAAGGCAGGAAGAACTTTTAAAGTGGTGCGTTAGTTTAAGGAGAATCATAAACCATCAGGATTCTTTAATCTGGCTAAAGACAGGCTCTTTGTTTCTAACTTCTGATCACTAGCGCCCTCCTCGGGAAAAAAAAACACGACAGGTTTCTTCCACCAACAGGCTGCTCCCTGTTTCTGGTTCTCATAAAAGAGAAATAGAAGAGCTTTGGAAGCCAGTGGCAACGATAGAGGGGATTGCTAAAAGGGGGTGCTTCTTCCCACCAAGGACACTTTGGACGTATCTATGGATTTATTTGGGTGCGTCCCAAAAATCCATAGCGACAAATCTCTTCTGGAAAATCAAGTCTTTTGGTTAGCAAAGGCATGGGGGAGTGACACCATGGCACAAGGAGAGGGGAGAGAGAAGCTGGCTTTTGCACCCGCAGCTCAGGGCCCCAGACGCATCGCAGAGCCACGGGTGCCCACGAGCAGGGTCAGCTCTCGGGGGCCCTCTTCCGCAGCCCAGACCCGGGACAGGAAGTGAGGGAGCAGGGACAGATCCCGGGGAGGCGCGCGCTCGGTACCCGGAAGGCGGCGGCTTCACGCTCGCGGCTCCGCGGCCAGGTCGGGGTGAAGGGGGCGCGGGAGTCCGCATCGCCGCCGCCCCGGCACAGCAGCCACAGCAGCCACGGCAGCCACGGCAGCGCCCGCACGTCCATTGCGGCGCCCGGCTCCTCTGCCGCCCGCGCGGCCTGTTTTCTCTTTCGGTTCCTCGGCTCCTCCCAGCCTGGGCTCGAGGGGCGGAAGGAGCTGGGTTGAGTGCACGATGCTGAGATTGACCCTTTTTTAGGTCCCCGGTGTTCTGTGACTGAAAATCCGGTCAGCTGGAGGCTACGGACCTCCTTGCTGAGGCTAGTTTTTTTGTTTTTGTTTTTGTTTTGGAAGAGTCAGGCACTTGACCATGTGCTTTCGAGGTTTCACTTCCATCCATTAGAAAAAAAGAAGCCTGAGAGTCATTCTTTTGTGTGTGTTGAGATCAGGTCTCACTGCAGCCTCGACCTTCAGGTTCAAGTGCCTCCTGCCTCAGCCTCCGGAGTACCTGGGACTACAGGCGCGTGCCACCACCCCAGGCTATTTTTGTATTTTTAGTAGAGATAGGATCTTGCCATATTGCCCAGGCCGGTCTCGAACTCCTGGACTCTAGTGATCCACCCGCCTTGGCCTCCCAAAATGCTCACAGGTGTGAGCCACCTGGCCTGCCCTGTGAGCCACCGGAAGCTGCCTTTTTCCTTCTTGCCACAATCCCTAAGTTCAAGACCTAGTTCTGAAGTGATGTGGGCCAATACATAGAGTCATCCATTCAGCAGATGTTTATAAATACGTAACAAAATTGTACAGATGTGAAAAGCATACACAGTTTTTGGATCTATTATGGCAGTTTCAAAACTCTTGAAGCCTGTTTCTCCGTTTGCAAAGGAAGATAGAGCCAAGTACATAATTTGCAGGGTTCCGTGTAAACTGAAAATGAAGTTCCCTTGTTCATAAATTGTGAAGAATTTCAAGACGGCAACAGCAGAGCATTAACCCAAGCCATGGGCCTTCTAAGCACCCACTTCTGCACAGGTCACACACTCATGAACCTGGCTCTACCGAGCCTTTCTATTATCATCTATTCTGAACAAGGCTTCCATGTCTGTGAAATTCATATCATTACCCTTGTAGATTTTTAGAACTAACATCAGATTTATGTCTTTAGTTTTTACCTAGGTGCAGTGAGTTACAATATTCTCCAATGCAAACTTCGTAATAAAAATAAAAATAATGTTCCGAGTATTAAGAGGAAAGACACAAGAGTTTTTTATGTACGTTCATGATAAGATATATTGCTCTTGGCAAGTGTGGTGATAAAGATTTTATTTAAATCATAAGTTCACAGAACGATGTTCATGTTTACCTCAGCAGTTCTTTTGTACTTAGCCCTTTTTTGTGACTCATACAAGCACATACTTTTCTTTTTAAACTGAACTTTGCTTTCAGATCATAGTCCCTGTTTATTGACAACCTACGGAGTCAGGAAATTTAAATATAGGCAGTCATCTTTACTTTAGGATAATTGGTATTGTAAAAAAGCCCCTTGAACTAAACTCATTTCAGGAGCTCACATCAAGTATTTATTGAGTACCTGCTAAGTGTCAGGCATTCTTCTAGGTAATGAGGATATATCAAGTAAGTGGATAAGTGACTAAAGGGATGAAAATCCCCATCCCTATGGGACTGATATTTCAATTGATTTACATCAACAAATATTTTATTGAGTACTTCCTAAGTGTCAGGCATTGTTCTAGGTCATCAGGACACATCATGGATGGAAGTGCATAAGTGACTGAAGAGATGAAAAGCCCCACCCTGTTGAAGCTGGTATTTCAGTGAGGGGGAGAGACGCAATAAAATTACTACAGGTTGAGGATCCCTTATCCACAATGCCTGGGTCTGGAAGTGTTTCAGATTTCAGATTTTTTCCCCCCAGATTTTGGAATATTTGCATATACATAATGAGATCTCTTGGGGATGAGACCCAAGTCTAAACACAAAATTCATTTGTGTTTCACTTATGCTACTGACTGAAGGTAATCTTACTGACTATTTTAGGTAATTTTATGCATAAAACAAGGCTTTGAATGCATTTTGACTATGACCCACCACATGAAGTCAGGTGTGAAATTTTCTAGGTGTGGCATGATGTCAGTACTCAATAAGTTTTAGATTTTGGAGTATTTTGGGTGTTTGGATTAGAGATGCTCAACTTGTACATGTGTTAAAGGACAATAAATCCAGATAAGGAGCATCATCAGTGTGAGGGGTGGTACTGCTATTTTAAATAAGCTGTTCAATACTGTCCTCACTGATGAGGAGAGTTTTGAGCAAAGATTTGAAGGAGAAGAAAGTGAGCCACATGGATATTCAGATATCCAGGGAAAGAGAAGCTAAGACAGAAAGAACTGTCAACACAAAGGCCTTGAGATGGAAGTTTGCTTGGCACGTTCCAGAAACATAAAAGACGTCAGCATGGATGGAGTAAAGGAAAAAAAAAAGGATGGGGGAGAGTAGAATATGAGATAAGTAAGAAGCGCACAGATTGTGAAGAATTTTGGGTCAGTTAAAAGGGAGATCAGAATCATCTATTAAGTAGTAAAACAAAGTTTTTGAAAAGTGGCTTGAAAAGTGAAGGTGGCAAGTATCTGCTAATTCTTAGAATAAACACTACAAATTACATGTATATGTAGAGATGTGTTTTTTTCATCAAATTTGCAAAATAGCACATGGAACTTCCCTCAACTCTGTATTAGATATCTATTGCCATGTAAAATATAACCCTCAAACTTAGCATCTTAAAAATACGAATTTTTCTTATCTTAAACAGTTTCTGTGGACCAGGAGGGAGCAGCTTATCTGGGTGGTTCCAGCTCAGAGTGTCTCATGAGGACGCAGACAAGCTGTTGCATATGGCTGCAATCTTCTGAAGGTTTCCCAAGTTTAAAGGATTCAATTTCAAGCTCATGTGGCTGTTAGCAAGAGTCCTCAGCTCCTCTTAGGCCTTTGGACAAAATCCTCAGAACCTTATCAGAAGGCTGGGCTTTTCCTGCCAGCTCTTTGTTCCTGCAGAATGAGTGAATAGAGAAATTGAGACAGTGGACCAGGGAATGACTGAGGTGGGAGCAGCAGTGTCTTTTTATAACCTTATCTTGAAACATATCATCTCTTCTGCCATTGGTTACACAGAGCCAGTCTGGTAAGATGTGGGAGGTGGAGCTGACATAAGGTGGGGTCATCAGGTGCCATCTTGGAGGCCCGCTACCACAGCCTCATGTTGAATGTTATAAGCCCAGTAACAAATGCAGTCATTTCTTTATGTGTGAAAATACTCCAGAGCTAACCATTTTCACAAATACCTCTTAACCTTTATGATACACAAATCAATATTTACTGTTGTTTTTATCCCGTTATGCACCTTCTGGGTTTTCTTCCATTTTTAATCATGCTACTTCATGTTTCAGTGACTTTGCTACGGAATTATTTTGTTTCTTTGTTTTTTTTTTTTTTACCTTTTTTTTGTTTGTTTGTTTGTTTGTTTTGTTTTGTTTTGAGATGGAGTATCTCTCTTGCTCAGGCTGGAGTGCAGTGGTATGATCTCGGCTCACTGCAACCTCTGCCTCCCGGGTTCAAGTGATTCTTCTGCCTCAGCCTCTCAAGTAGCTGGGACTACAGGTGCACACCACCATGCCCAGCTAATTTTTGTATTTTTAGTAGAGATGAGGTTTCATCATGTTGGCCAGGATGGTCTCAATCTCTTGACCTCGTGATCCACCCGCCTCAGCCTCCCAAAGTGCTGGGGTTACAGGTGTGAGCCACTGTGCCCAGCTGGAGATTTCTTAAAAAGCTGAAAGTAAACTACCATTTGATCCAGCAGTCTCACTACTGAGTACCTACCCAAAGGAAAATAAGTCATAATATGAAAAACACACATGCACACACATGTTTATAGCAGCACAATTTGCAATTGCAAAGATATGGAACCAACCTAAATGCCCATCAACCAATGAGTGGATAAAGAAAATGTGGTATATATACACTGTGGAATACTAGTCAGCCATAAAAAGGAACGAAATAATGTCTTTTGTAGCAACTTGGATGGACTGGAGGCCATTATTCTAAGTGAGGTAACTCAGGATTGGAAAACCAAATATTGTATGTTCTCACTTATAAGTGGGAGCTAAGCTATGAGGATGCAAAGCGGAAGAATGATACAGTGGACTTTGGGGACTCGGCGGGAAGGGTGGGAGGGGGGTGAGGGATAAAATACTACACATTGGGTACAGTGTACATTGTTTAGGTGACAGGTGCACCAAAATCTTAGAACTTATCCATGTAACCTGTACTCCAAACACCATTGAAATTAAAATTAAAATTTTAAAAAGTTGAAGCAACAAATAATGTAACAAAATGCCTATTCAAAATGACAAAGTAAACAATAATGGCTTCTTTCTTCTATCAAGTACATTTGAGGTGATGACGGTCCTGAACCATCTCAGGGAACTAAATATTTAATAGATCACTCTCTTAACCCAATAGTTATTGGAAATTTCCAAAGGAAACTTATCAGTATAGATAATTGATAGAAAAACACACAAACAATTCCACAGAGGACAGGGAAGACTGCATCGTTAAGAGAGTAGAATTACATGCCTCACAGGCTATCGGGGTGAGGTACCTGACAGAGAATGTGTGTCTAGCCTTGCACAAGCCAAGCAAAGTGTGGATCTGCAGGGAGAAGTGGCTGGCCCTCAATGAGCTGAGTGCTGGGCATTAGTCAACTGCTGATTCAGCCACAGATGCTAATCAGAACATCCAGAGAAGAAACCGGGCTGTATACTCCCCAAGAAATATCAGATGTAGAGCCAGGATTGGCATGGACCTCAAGGACACAGGACAGACCTGAGGGTCTATTCCCTGTGCCCCCTCACAATTCCATACATGTCCTTGCACTCACACATCAAACACTGTCTAGAGAGGAACATGGTGGAGAGCTGGAGAGCAGAAATAACAGACTGAAGTCTTTCTACTGCCTTGTGTGGGAGCTGTGAAGACGACGTTAGTTACAAAGTTGTAGTTGGAGTAAGTTTGTGACCACATCACAGAGGAAAAAGCAGAATCTGCGTACACCTAATGTTTGTGCTTCTTGCCATTTATTCAATTCTATTGTTTCTCAGGCTTTTGTTTCCCATTTGCAACTCAGCACTGATGAAAATTTTTCCCTTTACCCTAAAACTGTTAGCCTGAATTCACGCCTGAAAACTGGCAAGAGGACCTACCCTACATTGTAAAGACAACCATGAACCATTCCAACCAGACACCTGCAGAGTCAGCCCCATGAAAAGAGGAACCCCTCCAAGACTATACTAGGGGGTGCCCCAGGAGGGGAAGAAAAATTGGCCAGTCGTCTGGGAATTACAGTGTTAGTGGAGAGTATTGAGTCCCTCATCCTCATCTAAGGAAGAGGCACTCCCTTCTCAATGCTCAGGTTTACTGGCAGCAGGGAAGATTCATGAGAAGGGAATGAAAGATGGTGGGATTATCTGCAAAAAACGGAAAAAAGGGAAGCCTGGTATTCTGATTTGCATTTAGATGCCTGGTTAGGCCACACTGCTGCTTTTCTCCTTATGCCCTCCTGAACAGGGGAAAAGGCGAGATGGAGAGAGGGGAGAGGAATAAGGCAGGGGGCACCCACAACTCTGGCATGGAAAGGAAGTGTGTTTCTCATGAGTCAAGTGGAACCCTCCAGAGGGAGTTTCCACTGCATGAGGGGAAGCCAGTAGCAGTGGGCTCAGGGTGGACTATGAGGGTCTAGGGCTGGAGACTGGACTAGACCCAGGTTTCTCATCTCAGAGAACTGTGCCCCAGGAGCCCAAGGAGGGCGTCCCATGGACCACACACATGTGCTCAAGGACAGGGTCAGCACGGGGGTCTGCCTGGAAGAAGGCTGGACGGCCAGTCAGTGAGAGCTGGAGGGGCAACAATGACCCGGCCTGGGAGCCCTGCAGCTGAGTCCTGTTAAACAGTGATATCTTCCTGCTCCCCACAATCCAGCCTCCTGCTCACTATTATCCAGGGCTCAAAGCTGTCAAGGGCATGGAGGAGATAGGGAAAAAGCAAAACATGTCCCTTTTCTTCGCTCACTTCACAAGCATAGCCAGAGATGGCAGAAGGGAAAGCTTTGAATTAGATATGAGACTGGAATTTTAATATGCACAAGACTGAATTCTAATTTGTTAATTCTAAACAGAAAGATATTCAGAAAGTTCTAATATCTGCCCAAGATGACATTCAAGGATGGGAAAGGGAATTCAAGTGATATGGGCTGAGAGTAGTGACTGAAAAAATAGAAAGCCATTTCATTTTTATAGCCTCAAAAAACTGCTTTCACAATGAATGTGGAATTATGAAGTTAGATCAGAATAATGGAGACGATTTTGTAAGGAAAGCAGAAAGAATGCTGACACTTATTGTACAGACATTAATAGGTAAGTAATTTGCAAGGGGTCTATGTCTATTACCTCATTTAATTCCTACAGTGAACAGTGTATTACTCTCCTCAATTTAACTGAAGCCGAGAGAAATTAAAACTTGCTCAGGGACACAAAGCTAATGAATGATAAATCTGATATTAAATATAGGTAAATACAGTGTCAAAGGCAGTACTTATTCCACTTGTACTCTACTGCCACCAACTGTGGTGGACTGTGAGACATTTTTCATACTAAAACTTCCATTGTGTCTGCTTTAATTATGTCTAATCTAGTATGAAAAGACACTTTATGGTAATAGTATACTTTAGTTGAACCTGTCAATGGTATATGATGATTCTTTGTCAGTTCAAATACTAATTCCCTATTTTAAAACAAAAAGGTACAGTTTTGCCTTTACTGTGAGTTTCCTTTGTTTGGGTGGTGTACTTTGGTGCCATGGAGATGATATTCGCAGACAGATGTTAATGCGTCATTATAAACACTGCCTGTTCTTGCTCTCTCATGAAAATGAAGAGTTCTGTTAGTATTTCATGGAACATCGCCACCTGGATTTGACTCAAACCTTCTCTTTTGACACGTTTTCACTCTGAATGACTAGTTTCCTTTTTGTTTGCTTCTGGTTCAGATTTCGGAGGTCATATTTCAATGTCCATTGTGAAAAGTGAATGGTGGGAGAAGGAGGAGGCAGAATGTAGGTTGGGCAGAGAAGATGGCCTTTTAAAAATGTTTTTATGCTGGAGACTTTTAATAGAACAATTCTGACAGCAAGCATTGAGTGAGTGGTTTATTCAGATATTCCCATCTGAAGAATTCCATGATCCTAAAAACACAGATCAATTTTTCTGATATTTATCTACTCCCTTAGCTTCCCCAAATTTGATAATTGCCCAATTTTGAGAGTGAATATTTGACTCTGTGCTCAATATCTGATTAAGTCTTACTAGTGCATTTGTGTTGAACCTAAGTCTCAAATGCCTCTTCTACATTCCGTATTTTATTACCCTTCTGTTTGGAACCAATCAAGGACATTTTCTCTTACACTACAGATATTCAGTAGTTTTATATCTTAAGAACTCATATGCTCTTAGTCATAACATTTATATTCATTTGGACCTTTTTTTTTTATTTGACCTGGGATTCATTCCAAGCAGTAAATAGCTGGTCTTATAGCCGTAGTCTCTCATCAACACCCAGAAAGGCATCTCTGAGTTGAAGAGGAAAAAAATGAATAAAACAAAAGAGGGGGTCAATATAGACTTTATTAATAATGTATTAGAAATCAAGAGGTTGAATTAACTCACATCTGTACTTCAGACCAATTAAAGGGGGGAAAGAAATGTAAATAAAGTCTGTAATTATACCCGGAAGTTTTAAGGTAAAACTTTAGAAGGCATACTTCTAACATTCCATACAAGTCTTACATTTTGATTCTGTGTTCACAGTTAGACTCTAACTGGAGGCCTGATGAATGGATTTATGGAGGCAGGAGACCAGCTTAAAATATATATATATAATATATACACACACACATAATATATATTTAATATATAATATTAAATATAATATATACAATATATTGAATATAATAATATATAATACAATGTATATTATATAAAGAAATATAAATAAATATATATATATTTATGAGACAGGGTTTCACTCTTTCACCCAGATGGGATTGCAGTGGCACGATCTCGGCTCACTGCAACCTCCACCTCCCAGGCTCAAACGATCCTCCTGCCTCATCCTTCTGAGTGGCTGGGATTACAGGTATGTGCCACTACCACAGGGCTAATTTTTTTTTGTATTTTTAATAGAGATGAGGTTTCACTATGTTGGCCAGGCTGATCTCAAACTCCTGACCTCAAATGATTCACCTGCCTCGGCCTCTTGAACGACCAGTATTACAGGCTTAAGCCACCGAACCTGGCTGAGATCAGCTTAATCTTATCTGTCCTTGTTGTTTTTGTGGCTGTCCTTCTTATTATAAGCATCGGTACTTCTATCTTTCTTTTCCATTCTATCTTTACGATGGTATAGGAACAAATGCTTTATAAAACCCAATGAACAAGAAAATCATCCAAATAATGACGCAGACTCTGCTTTATTGACAAAGAAGGTGACGTTCCGAAAGGAAGTCATTGGTCAGAAGACCATGCAAAATGAGTTTGCTCAAAATATTGAATGCCACGTATTGTATGAATGTCTGAATTTGACAGATGGGAGGTGACTTAGAGTTGTCAATACATAATATATACAAGTATAGTTTGTATGAAAGTTGAACTTCAGAAAATTTTAGTCTAAATTTTACATTTGCATTTTACCACATTAAGTCTAGATTTGGTGGTATGTGTAGAGGAAAAAAAGTTACAAATATCCCACCTAGATTATCTTGAATGCCTCTGCTGTCAACTTTAAGGGCGACTTGTGGTGCTATTCCTGACCTAATATCTGCAGAAGGCTGCAGGCTATGGCCATCGTGGGCTGGTGTGTATTAAAAGAAGCTGGAGATCGTGAATTGGTTAATGCATAGTTGGTTGGATGAAACTGCTTAAAAGCAGCTATTTAAATTCACATCACCAGTCAAGTGACAATGTGAAAGGGGTGATTGTATTATCTTTAGCACTTGTTTACTCTTTTTGAGGTGAAAGGACAGGAGCAAACGCCTGGATTCACTTTTGAAAACGATGGTAGCTATCAAGTTCTCTGAGTATTCCTATAAGCCCTCCCTTCCAAGCAGTATGTCCTTCCTACTGAGTGGTTATTTGAAAAGCTCAGTGAGGAAAAGCTCTTTGAACTGTATTTTTTCTTTTCAGCTGAATGAGAACATCTGAAAGTCCATCTCCCATTTTCTTTCATTGACACTAACTCACTTTGACAGTCTGTACCCAATAGAACTATATATCACAATGTGAACTAGAGTTGGCCAGACATTTCAATGCTTACCAGCCCTGAACTCACAAGGCCATTTTTAGCTTCTAGTTTGTTTGTAGACTGCTGTTCAAGGTAAGCTCCTATGTAAAGTGACTGCCTTTGTTCTTCATGAAATTCAGTTTTATTTCTTAGGCAATATAATTTTTTGTTTTTTATTACATTGCAAAACACTTTAGGACTCCAAGAAAGTAATTTTGCCTTATTTTCCATTCACTATTTGTCCATTTGTAAGTTTATGACAAAACCAGATGTCCATCACAGCAATGAGAATCAGATACTTGATGAATACATATAAATTATGCACATAAAACTAGGTGCAGTTTTGTCCATGAAGTACATGTTCACTTGAGGCTTCAAAGAGTTCTGCTTTATATTCATTTAAATGAATGGTATAATTTTTGCATGATTTTTCTTGATACTTTTGAAATTGTTCCAAACTTGAATCCATTACTATTAGATACTGTTTATACCATGATAATATAAAAGTTAGAATTTTGATTATATATGTGTTACTTCATCTATTGCTAGAGGAAATAATTTCATGGCTTCATAACTTGGTGGAAGAAATTACATTTGAAACATGCAGCTTCTATTCCTGTTTTGTCCTGTTCCTAATTACATTATGACACTCTATGTGTTCCCAATTTGAACAAATAGCTGTAACCTGATGAAGCCATCTCTGTCTCTATTTTTCAGTGCCTAACATTTGGGTATTTATTGAATGCTTTGACTGACTAAAGCATGGGGACTTTGTTATAACATGAGCTTTTAGTCTAAGCAATTGTTTCTAAGCAAAGCCCTTAAATGTATTCTTTAAAATACTTCATTTTATCTTAATGGACGAGACACTGTTTGAGGATAAATAATTCTTGCTTTTGAGCATTTTATCTTCTAGTGAGGAATAAGCATGTATACACTCCAACATAATCTGTGCAGCACTGTGTTATCAAGAGGTAAGAGAGTGTGGGAGGGCGCAGGGGAGGGAGAGATTGTCATAAGACTCTTCTAATTGAAGAGAGTGTAACATATCCAAAAGATAGTTAAGAACTTGACACACAGAAATGAGGTTGAGGAAGGAAGTGGGTGGGGCACCACAAACATCGCAATGGCTTGGAATAAAATTCAAACTCCTTTCTTTAGCATCCAAGGCCCAGATCAGTGATTTTCCTCTTTGGCTGAAGGTCAGAATCCAACTCATGAACTCCAAAATCTGACGCCTAAACTTCATCCCCAGAGATTCTGATTTATTTCAAACCAAGGTAACCCTTAGCATAGAACCAGAGCTGACACTTACTGATCAGAGTGATCTGGCCCTGGCCTGCCTTTCAGGCCTTACTTCCTATCACATTCTTCTGTGTTCATTTAGCTCCTGCCATCCGCTGACCCCACTCCCTCCAGCCCAGCAGCTTCTATTCCTCTAAAGCACAGCTTTACTAAGGATGACTCGTTGCTCCTGGACTATTATTTCTGAGATAATAATAACAGCTGATATTTGCTGAGGACACACAATGTCCCCAGGACCCAGACAGCACATACACTGTAAAATGTATTAACTCATTTAATCCTCCCCACAAATTGATGAGTCGTCTTTATTTTCTGGTGGAAGAGCCTGACGTACAGAGCTGTGATGTCACGCCCAAGTGGTTGCAGAGCTGGGATTGGAAGTGATAAGGCTGGTGCTCAGAGCCCTGAAGCCCAACACTCAAGCTACCATTTTCATTTTTTCTCTTCATATCATTTAAGCCTTGATCCAAAGGTTACCTTCTCAGAGCATTGCTTGACTAACCTCACTCCCATTTCTCTAATGCTTTACTCTGCAATTGCAATCAGTGTTCATTTATATATTTACTTAATTTTTTTTCTAATACAATGTAAACTCCACAAAGGCTGACTATATCTGCTTGTTCACCATTGTATTTCTAGTACCATAAAAATGGCACATAGAAGGTTTTCAACAAATATGTATTAAAGGAAAGAATGAATTTCTGGTGTAACAAGTATTCAAGGGAGAATACAATTGCTTCAGGCACTACTCTTTCCTGGTATTTGTCTGGCATAATGATTTCATGATTTGAAATTCCAAAGAAAGGGCAGCTAAGGGGTGTTTGATTTCATATACTCAGCCCACATTTCAATATTCCCTGAACCTAAGCATTACAGTGGATGCCTATAGGCAACATCTTTGCTTGTTAAGCAAGCATCCATTGTGCCCTGTTTTCTTGCTGGCAGAGCATTAATATTGCCCTGGTTTTTCTTCTCCAGGAGGCTTCGGTAGTGACTGGTGAGAGCGTGAGCCCATCACAGTGGGTCTGTCCCCTTTGCTGATCATTCAGGTTGGGCAAGTGTCACAGTCCTGGCAATTGAGACCTGAGTGAAGTTCTGCAGGGGATCCTCTGGTAAAGATCTTTTTGCTCTTAAAAATGTAGACAAGAGAGTGAGCCCCTCCACCCTTATACACCAACATGGTCAGGTATGAAAGGAATCCCTGCAGCTGCAGTTACATCTTGAGACAATGAGGTTAGATGGCCTAATAGTGAAGAATACTGGATTTGGAGTCAAAATCTGGCTTCAAATTCCAACGCCGCCCCTTGCTAGCTACATGGTCTTGTGTTAGTTGGCTAATCTCTCTGTGCCTCATTTACCCTTTCTGTAAAATGTGTAATATTAGTGCTTATTTCAGAGAATATTTGAGGATACATGAGTTAATATGTATTTAAAGTTCCTTCATTTGTAAAAATAAAAATAAGGGGTCAACTTCATAGGACTATTGTGAAGAATACATGAATTAAAACATATCTGAGGTACTTAAACTAAGGCTGGCACATAGATAGTGTTAATAATTATTAGCTAAAAACAAAACAAAATAGTGGGAGGACAGAGCCAAGACAATCTCATGAAAGCGGAACTGAACCTTGATTGTACTGAACTTGGGACCATTCCTTTATATCAGATTTTAAAAATTTATACTGTCATCATTTAAACCATTAAAATCAGAGTTTTCTGTGTGTCCTCCAGTGAAAGTCTATTTTATTTATTTATTTATTTTTAGACAGAGTCTTGCTCTGTTGCTCAGGCTGGAGTACAGTGGCACAATCATAGCTCACTACAGCCTAGAACTCCTGAGCTCAGGCAATCCCCTTGTCTTGGCCTCCCCAGGAGCTGGGATTACAAGGAGCTACCACGCCCAGCCGTGAAAGTCATCTTAACTGACATATTGCACATAAATGTGGAAGTGGTGGAACCAGTGTTCATCATATATGAGACCACTGGGGCCACAAGCTTCTTTCTGCATGATAATTCAGTTTGGAGCCTGCAGGAGAATGGAGTAAAACCTCTTAATCATACTGAACACTCTGCTTTCACAAGAATGGATATTAGTATTTTAATTCAATCCCCAACAGTTAAATGTTCTCAATTTTAATGACCAATATAGCCAACAACAATTATAGGGCACAGCTCTGCAAGGAGACACTGTTAATGCCCTAGAATCATGCAGGGCTTTAAGAATCTTTATCTCAGGCTAAAGCAACAGGGAAAGCTTTATATTTTGTTTCCTTCCAAATCTAGCTCCCATGACGAAAATCTTCAAGTCCAGAACATGCAGTGTTTAATTATCTAACAACTACTGAATCTCATTTGAGCAAAAACAATTTGATCGATGGGTCCAGCTGTGACCATTGTGTAGCGTGAATTTTCTGATCACTTTAAAATGTTGGCTATGCAGCTGTCATCTGGAACTTTAGAATGCACTAGCATTAAAATGCCACAGCTATTTTACAGACCCGTCTGTATCCATGAGAGAGATGACATTCTTCAGGGGATCTTCAGTATACAATTTGTTACATATTCTAGAGATGCTGTAATCAGTGTTAATGTTTTCATTTCTCTTAAATTCCTGTATTAGTGTTTCTGAGCAATTTAGAATGGGGTTACCTCAGGATAGCTTTTGCCTAGTAAAGGACTATTTGTTGAAGTTCTGTTTTGCTTCTCCCTACACAATGCTGCTTAACATGACTGAGACTGTGGAATGGGATTCTTGTTTTTTATATTCTCACAATTCATACTAATGATTAGGGAGACTATGGGAGGAAGGGTCAGTACAGAATCTTTCTCACCACAGCTGTCAGTTGGCAGGAGGACAAAGGGCAAGCCAGAAGGAGTAAGACTGCTTCTCTTTGAGTCAGGGAAGCATGGAGATGATGCAGTAGCTGGCTCCAGGTTTGTATTTGAGTCATCTCTGATACTTAGGGTACATTAGTTAGTTTTATCCCCATCTTCCATAGAAACTATCTGCACTTCCCTTGCAGAAGTACAGGGGTAGGATTAGAGATAGTAATTTCTACAGCAACTTAAGTGAGAAGAAGGATCTGGAGTTTCCAAATGGCCAAGGAATGCAAGACAACTTTTTAATATAAAATGATTTTAAATGATGTCTATATCTTCCTTTTCTGTGCTGCAGTGACATGCCTATTCCCAAGTCTGCACAAATAAAAGCAATCTAAATGTAAAGAGCATATATTGATATCCAATCCTGAACAAATGGATCATTTATTTGCTTTCAAAGTGACCTTTCCCATTTTCAAACCAAAGGAGAGAAAAATTATCATTTAGCTGGAAGTGTCTGTTTGACATTATAGGAGGGTGAAGAAATTTTTTTCGGGCTACTTCTCTATGGTATCTATAAACATTAATAGTGTGGTCCACTATATAGAAGTGTAGCTCTCTCTCTCTCTCTCTCTTTTTCTCTTTAATCATATTGCTGCTGTAAACCCAGAAGAAATCTGTAGCTAATGATATGGTTTGGCTCTATGTCCTCACCCAAATCTCATCTCAAATTGTAATTCCCATGTGTCAGGGGAGGGTCCTGGTGGGAGGCGATTGGATCATGGGGGCGGTTTCCCCATGCTGTTCTTGTAACAGTGAGGGAGTCTTCAGGAGAGCTAATGGTTTTAAGTGTGGCACTTCCCTGTGTGTCTGGAGTTGGTTCCTTCTGGTGGGTTTGTGGTCTTGCTGACTGCAAGAATGAAGCCGTGGACCTTTGTGGTGAGTGTTATAGTTCTTAAAGATGGCATGGACCCAAAGAGTGAGTGGTAGCAAGGTTTATTGTGAAGAGTGAAAGAACAAAGTTCCCACAGCTTGGAAGGGGACCCGAGCAGGTTGCCACTGCTGGCTGGAGTGGCCAGCTTTTATTCCCTTATTTGTCCCCTCCCATGTTCCGTTTTTGTCCTATCAGAGTGCCCTTTTTTCAATCCTCCCTGTGATTGGCTACTTTTAGGATCTGGCTGATTGGTGTGTTTTACAGAGCGCTGATTGGTGCATTTTACAGTCCTCTTGCTAGCTACAGAGCGCTGATTGGTGCCTTTTTACAGAGCGCTGATTGGTGCATCTTACAATCCTCTTGCTGGACAGAAAAGTTCTCCAAGTCCCTACTCAACCCAGGAAGTCCAGCTGGCTTCACCTTTCATTCTTTCTTTCACTGTCTGTCCTGCCACCATATAACTTGTGCCTTGCTTCCCTCTGCCTTCCACTATGAAAGTTTTCTGGCCGTGTGCAGTGACTCACGCCTGTAATCCTAGCACTTTGGGAGGCAGAGGCAGGCGGATCACCTGATGTCAGGAGTTCAAGATGAGCCTGGCCAACATGGTGAAACCCCATCTCTACTAAAAATGCAAAAAATTAGCCAGACGTATTGGTGTACGTCTGTAGTCCCAGCTCCTCGGGGAGGCTGAGGCAAGACAATTGCCTGAACCCCGGAGGCAGAGGTTTCAGTGAGCCGAGATTGCACCACTGCACTCCAGCCTAGGCGACAGAAACATGCCGAACTGAGTCAATTAAACATCTTTTCTTCATAAATTACCCAGTCTCAGGTAGTATTTTTATAGCAGTGTGAGAACAGACTAATACAGCCAGTTAGGAATGTTAACGTGGGAACAGTTTGTGACCTTGACCATCATAGGCACTCAGCAAATGCTAGCTGATGTGTTCAGTAATACTGAGAAAGAGAATAATTAATTGTAGAGATATGTGGAAAGCTTGATACCACATATTTTAGTGAGCATTCAGACCCTTTTTTTTTTTTTCGACAGAGTCTCGTTCTATCACCAGACTGGAGTGCAGTGGCATGATCTCGGCTCACTGCAACCTCCGCCTCTCATGCTCAAGCAATTCTCCTGCCTCAGCCTCCTGAGTAGCTGGGATTACAGGCACTCACCACCACACCCAGCTAATTTTAGTAGAGACAGGGTTTCATCATGTTGGCCAGGATGGTCTCGATCCCCTGACCTTGTGATCCAATCGCCTTGGCCTCCCAAAATGCTGGGATTATAAATGTGAGCCACCATGCCTGGCCCAGACTTTTTTGTTAGGAAACCATTCCATGTGAAGTAGAAAATCTTCTACAGTTGTCAGGGTTATTTATCCACATAAAATATTTTGACCTTTGTTTTCTTTTAGCGAAACTGAATTTTCCAAGTTTGACCTCCTCTGATCAATTGTATCTTCATCTCTTGTAGGTGACATCAGCCACTAAGGATTTTAGTTCTTTTTATGTAGAGACATATTTTCTTGTTTTTACTATTTTTCAGGTCTAATGGTAAAAGGTTTAAACTTGTTTATGTTTTCCATTGAAAATTACTAGGAAAGCAATCCTATTGCAATGCAGCTGGTGCTGATCTCATGAGAAGTTCTGGTCAAAGAGAAGGAATGAAATGGTATAGCTGTAAAGAAAACAATCAAATGGGCATGTAGTTAAGTTTGGCTGGTATCTCCAAGTTTGGGATCATAGTGATTATTGCAGGAAGAGATCAATAAAACATATTTCAAAAATTGTTTTTGTTGCTTTTCCTTTTTATTTCAGGATATATGATTAGAGGATGGGAGGAGGTCACAAAGCTTGTAGAAAACTGCATAGTTAGAAGTATTCCTAGAGCATTTCCTCTTTTTATAAAAATGCATAATATGGTTAACAATTACAATGTTAATTCCAATTTTTCTTAGTAAACTAAAAGAAAAATCACATAGAATGTATTTTTTTAAGCAAAAGAGCATTTATCTGCTTCAATCTCAAAGTGGTTTGTATTTAACATACGGAAATTTTTGTTTTTATATTTGTTACCTAGAAGACTGTGCGGTTTTTGTGTCCTTTGCCTTGGAAAAATTTTTTATAATTTCTATGATACAGAAAACTTTTCTATATATTTAAGTGGTCAGTTGTATTATATTTATTCACACCTGCTTATAAAATCTTTTAAAATGTCCGTATACTGTATAAAAATCTGTCTTTCCCCTTCCAGTTGGTCAGGTACAGAAAAAAAAAGAAATTTAAAATATAAAGAGGTTTAGGCATCAAAGATAGACTAAGAGATGTAATATTTATCTAGCAGAAGTTCCACAAGAAAAGACAATGGAAAGAGGATAAACTAAATTAAAAGGAATAATACGTGATTTTTCCAGACTGATAAATAAACAGTTCCTCAGATAGAGATAGAAGAAACATGAGTCTTGAACAATAAATAGAAAAACTGCAGAAAAACCAAGATGAAGGTAAAAATATTAAAAGAAGCATTGATGAACCATAAATTATAAGCAATGATTCACAAGAATTATAATTTGTCTGAAGCAAATTTTACATTAGCAAAAACTGATTGTAGAAAAAAAAACCTTGACAATACTGAGAGAAAATGGCTATCAACACAAAGTATCATTTAATAATGAGGCTAAAATAAAGATATTTAACACAATGGTGGATTCTTATCACTCATAGAATTTATCTTAAAGAACCATTAGATGATGACATTTATTAAGAAAAAACTCATCCCAGAAAAGAGCTACGGTTTTTTTTTTTTTAGTTGAAGTCTTGCTCTGTTGTCAGGCTGGAGTGCAGTGGCCTGATCTCAGCTCACTGCAACCTCTGCCTCCCGGGTTCAAGCAATTCTCCTGCCTCAGCCTCCCATGTAGCTGGGATTATAGGCGCATGCCACGACACCGAGCTAATTTTTGTATTTTTAGTAGAGATGGGGTTTCACCATGTTGGCCAGGATGGTCTCAATCTCTTGACCTCGTGATCCTCCAGTCTTGGCCTCCCAAAGTGCTGGGATTACAGGCGTGAACCAGTGTGCCTGTCCTATAGTTTTTTTTTTTAAGAAGATATATTTACATAAATATTTGTGTAAAATATAATAATTTAACAGTGATAAAGACACATATGGAATTTTGAGTACATAGGGAAACTAATATACTAGGCAAAAATTACAAAGATATGTGGGTCAAAGCATTCTAAAACCCTTTTGTTGTTTAAGAGTAAAACAGAAATATTATCATACACCTTTAGGAAGTCAAGTATGCACATTAAAATTTTAAGGGTAACAAATAAAAGAATAGGATCTTATATAAAGTTAGAGTGAAGGTGAGTGACCTGAAAGGAAAATCTAATGATATTGTTTAGAATGCACTAAAAAATAAGCATATGTAAAAATTAAAGAGATTTTAAGATACAGAGATTTAGAAAGTTTAAGAAATCGCTAATTGAAGTTCCAGAGGAATAGAACAATAAAAAGAGAAAATATTTGAAAACATACTGAGACTATTCTAGAGTTGATAAGAGATTATAATTTGCAAATTCAAGAAGTCAAATAATTAAAAGCATAGCTACATTGTGTAAGGCTATATTATTATTCCCAAATACTTGCTACTCCTTCCTGCAGAGGAAAATATCTGTTCACCCAGTGGATATTGGGTGTGGTAACGTAACTTGCATTAGTTAATGAAATAAAAGCAGAAGCAGCACATGTCTCTTCTGATTAGAGGCTTAGGAGCTAGCATGTTTTGCCATTCTTTCTTTTTCTTTTGCCGTAATTACTGGAAATGCCCTAAATTAAGGCTCTTCTGTCAGCCTAGATGTCACATTAATGGAACATGGTGCAAAGCCATGGGTAACTTGTAATCGATGTGTGGCATAGAGGAGACATTAACATTTGTTGCTCTATTTATTGATATATATTTGAGAGGTTTGTTGTTAACACTTTTAAACTAGACAGCAGTTCTCAATAGACAGAGATTTTGCCTCTCAAGGAACATGTCAATGTCTGGAGACATTTTTGGTTAGCACAGCTAGACGTTGTGGTGCTACTGACATCTAGAGGACAGTGGCCAGGAGCGCTACTAAACATCCTACAAGATACAGGACAGCCCCCACAACAAGACTTTTTCAGCCCATAAGATGTCATCGGTGCCAAGGCTGGCAACCTCTGATCTAGCCTATCCTAACGATTTTATATACCCAGACACATTATAGTGAAACTGCAGGTCACCAAAGACACAGTGTTGTTAAAAGCAACCACAGCAAATGGACTGATTATAATAAAAATACTATAAAAAGCAAGATAGGCTTCTTTAAGTTCCACATTATAAGCTTTTCAACCCAAGGACCAAAGTTGGACTCACACTTAGATAGGAAATTTTCGGTGAAATGAACATACATATATCAAAACATAAAAGAGAGAAATTTGCAAATTCATGTGTCCACATTATTCCCGAGCCAGACTCTGGCTACTGTGTTGATTGGTGTTGAAAATTAATGACTTTGTTGTATTCCGTGATAATGTGCAGTCATAAGATAAAGCATTTTAAGGTATTTTCCATTATGTGACCCATCAATGAAAAATTCATTATTTAAAATCCCTGGGAAAATTAATAGATATACCAATTACATGCACAACAAATGGAAATATAAAAATAACCTTTATAATTCATTCACTATGAATTATTATGTACTTTGGCCAAAGGTGACCAATAGCCACATAGAGTCAAGGTTTAAATTTATAATTATGATTTTTTTTTAATGTTGATATCAGGGATTATAGAGAAAAGATAGCAAACAAATTAAAGTTATGAAGAGAATACAAAGCATGCAATCCTGACAGCATACAAATTGGTTTCACAGAGCATTTTGGTCTAGATGTTAATGAGAATTTGTTGGACTAGTTTCATCTGTGATTTTAATAGTCTTCATATATTTATTTTACTCCACGTATTTTCTCACAGCACAGGTGTTGCATGTAGGACAAGTTGACACAATTAATAGTTACTTTTCTCAGACTGACAGTTTAAATATATCTTGTGATCGATAATAACTGGACATATTACTTATTTTCCAGATGTCTTCATGCAGTATAAGAAAACGAGCAAATAAATAAAATGGTTTTTTCCTCAACAACTTGAAAAAAATTAAAGTAGAAAAAACTTTATTTTAATTTCATTTTGTCTGTATTTGAACCTAACAATCACTTTCTGAAATACTTCTCTCCCTTTTTTTTTTCAGAGACAGGGTCTCACTCTGTTGCTGAGGCTGTAGTGAAGTGGCAGAATCATAGCTCTCTGCAACCTTGCACTCCTGGGCTCAAGCAATCCTGATACCTCAGCCTCTCGAGTAGCTGGGACTATAGGAATACGCCACTGTACCTGGCACTCCATATTTTTCTAAATGTTTGTTTCAGATGATGTTCTACCCATAACGTACTCACTCAGTACCACAAATTACTATTTGATATTTTGTTTTCACATTAAAATTGTCTTTATGAAAAACAAATAGAACTGAATTTTGTCAAGTCTTAAAAGTGATCTCTAGAATGCCTCTGTATTCCATTTGCAAATATGTACTACCAAGACTTTATTTTGAGAATTGTACTATGAAAGCCTTTACATGCGGTTGTCAAAGCGGTAAATGAAATAGGATGTGCAGAAAAAGAAAACATAATAATAGTAATAATAATAATAACAACAGCTCAAAGAGAGGTCTGGTCTTCGTTTTTAGTTACTTGGAAGTAACTTCTAAACACTTGGAATTTTGAGAGTGATTGGAATGTCTTTGTTATTCATGGTAATCCCCTCGTACCACATCTGATAATTAATGCCAATGAGATGACTCAGAAAGGAGCAAGCCATGCCAGAAAGACAAAACGTATGATTGTAGTTTTGTCTAGTTTTGGAGTTTGGGGCCAAGTGATATCAGCCTCACCTCCCAGGATTGGGGTGCTAGAGATCAAGCTCAACTGTGTGGATGCTGATTCCATTAATCCTGACTATGTAATGAAACCCCAATAAAATCACTAGCCCCTAGAGACTCTGATGAGCTTTCTGGGTTGCCAATACTCTGGTCATATTGTCACACATCTATCTATTTGTAGAGCTTAATGCACGCCTGATGCAAAGAGAGATTCAAGTTTTGGGATCCTCCCAGTTTCCATCCTACGCATTTTTTTCTTTAGATGGTTCTAATTTGTATCCTTTGCTATAATAAAACTGTAATTGTAAATACAGCACTTCCTGAGTTCTATGACTTGTTTTAGTGAACTGTTAAACCTGAGGGTGGTTGTGGGAATCCCCAAATGTGTAGCCAGCTGGTCTGAAGTGAGGGTGGCTCTGGAAACTCCCAAACTGTCAGTTAGTGTCTGAACTGAAGGTGATATTGTGGGGACAGTTCTCTTAAACCTCACAGTTGGACAGTCTCATTGAGTTGGCGTCTTAGACAAATTTGACAGTTGGAGAACTGTGCCTTTAACCTTGAGTTATGCTAACTCTGGATAGAAAATGAAGTCTTAGATTTTTTAGTAGTTTGCTCCAAATCTTCTAATATCTGGAGAATTTGAGATCTGAATTTGAGACCCTGCAGGGTGATCTGATTCCAGGATCCATCCAAGAACTTTAAGCTGTTTTAGAAAACTGCAGAATAAAAAGATAGTTTGGATTCCCCCTGAAGACCTTGAGACAAAGATATAAGTGAAAATAGTGGTTTTGGGAGGTGCAATAAATAACAGTTGGAGGATGGAGAATTGAGCCAGAAAGAAAAGGCAGCCAGTGTTATGTGTTATCCAGACAACTATCATTGCAGGTGATTGGAGCTTACTCCATCTGGGGAACTGTGAGTAAGGGTAAAACACGTGCCATCTGGGTGTGAGAGAGCTGTGACATTGACATTCCAATGTAGTCTGTGGTTGAGGACAAAGATTCAGGGAAAAGGGTGAATTTTATTTCCCTGGCACTTCTAGACGACACAATGCACAGACAGAGTGCTTGCCAAACGTTTGGGAGAAAGCTGTTTAACAAGCATATGCAGTTATTAGCAGATGGAAATCTAGGCTTTTGGGGATTGGGCACACTGAAATAGCAAGGCCTGAGGGATATGAGCATGCACAGACAGCTCTGACAGCAATAATAGCAAATACAATAGCACTGTCTTGGAAAGTGAGGGGTTAGAATAACAAACTACACCAGACTGAAGCCTCTGCTGTCAAACCTGAAAGAGAGGTGAGGCGTATGGCTAGACAATGCATTGGAATCTTCAGCCACATCAAACATTAGAAGTCCACAGGAATTAATAAGGTTATCTGCTGTTCAAGTATTTCTCCCTTCAAGGGTGAAGGGTTTGTTCCCTAAGCAGATAGGAGTGCAACCTAAAGATGCCCGCGAGGCATCAGTCTCCACATATGCTTCAGTTGAAGAACACTGTGTTGTCCTGGGTCTTAAGTACTTCAGGGACATTCTGCATTCCATGACTGATCTACACATGGATTCTTTGAAAATCCTTCTTAGTCCTAAAGCTCCATATAAGGTCAACTGTGGCTTTTGTTTGGTCTGCATTTCAGCTCAACTTCTCTGCCTAATCTGGCTTCTTTTTCCCCTCTTCTACAGGTGCCAATTTCAGGAACACTCCTCTAGTAAACATCCTGAACAATTATCAGCTTCCCATAAAACCCAACTTGAAGCAATCAGAATACTTTAGCACTTCTTATAATGCTAAGTTGAGATGGTACCATTTCCTAAATATGAAGAAAAAGTAAACATGATTCCTGTAAATGTCTTACAATTTTCTGATTCTGAAATATTATGTAAGATGTTATTCTTATATAAACTCAGTAGCTCCTTATGAAAGTTAATTAGCCAAGATCCCATAGGTCAAAACACATGACTAGTGTTTAGTCAGTCAATAGTGTTGGGGCTCAGAAAATGATACCTTAAGGTATGTTGCTTTGGCATTCTGAGTGCTTTGAATTAAAGGAAATTGGAAGGTCTTAGAAGCTGCCTCACAATCAAGGTCTCTCTGACTTTCCCTTGTTTCTCCTCCACAAGTGTGGGAGGGGCTTTCTCTGAAGTTCTATTATCTGACGCAGGGAAGTTCTTCCAAAAGGAATGCAATTGTCTGGAACCCCTCCCTAAGAATCTCATCCAAAACCCAGGGAATATTAATCACAGAGAGGAGATTAAAAGTCATCCCTGCACCCGGACTGGCTATCACTTATTCCCCGGGAGGCTGCCCTCAAACAAGTTTTATCACCTGAGAGTCTTTATTTGCATAGTAAGACAACCAGTGTTCCCCTGCAGTGCCTCCCCTCTTCCTCTCACAACTTGTTGCCACCTCCCTCCAAAGCTCAAGCCGCTATTCCTTTATGCTTAGAAACTTCAATCCTCTGGTCCTTTGAGTCTCGTATTCTTCTGTGAGGTTCCTGTGTGCATGCATGTAACTAACATGTTTTTTCTCCTGCTAATCTGTTTATTGCTATTTTATTTCAGCAGACCTCATTATTCCTTCAGAGGGAAAGTTTAAACTTCCCTACACTAGAAGACAGAAAATCCTGTTTTGCAAATTAAAAACAATTTTAATTATGAAAATGATAAGCTTAAAGCCATTTTTAAGATATTTTTATAAACCTAATTTTATTTATGATATATACATGTTTTATTCTAAATAAAAATGGATTAAATATTAATAAATGATCAGAGTGTTTCATAATTCAGGAGGCTTTGTTCAAAAGTCACATCATTATCTATGGCTATGTGAATTTTACCACCTTTTAAATGCAGTTTTAAAGAAGATACTTAGCTTCTTTTTCTTTGGTCAATTTTATCCCTAGTAACAAATGGTTAATTCCTTTTTTTGTTGTTGTTTTTTTTTTTTGAGACAGGGTCTTCCTCTATTGCCCAGGCTGGAGTGCAGTGGCCTGATCTCGGCTCACTGCAACCTCCTTCTCCCGGATTCAAGCGGTTCTCCTGCCTCAGCCTCCTGAGTAGCTGAGATTACAGGTGCCCACCACCAAGCCTGGCTAATTTTTGTGTTTTTAGTAGAGACGGTTTCGTCATGTTGGCCAGGTGGCTCTCAAACTCCTCACTTCAGGTGATCTGCCTGCCTGGGCCTGCCAAAATGCTGGAATTACAGGTGCAAGCCACTGCGCCTGGCCGACAATTAAAAATTTTAATCACCAAATAATCATGAACTAAGTTCTTCATTAATTCAGCTCTTATTATAGAAAGATATAAAACAAATTTTCAGAGCTTGTGTTGAGCACCAGAATTCCCAAGTCAGAGGCTGTCAGCTAGGAGCAAGATGCTTCCTAGTGTAACCGTTCAATGGGTTCACCTTGCCCGCTGCCTTGACAGAGCCGATTTATCAAGACAGGGGAAATGCAATGGAGAGAGAGTAATTCACACAGAACCAGCTGTGCGGGAGACCGGAGGAGTTTTATTAGTACTCAAATTAGTCTCCCTGAGCATTCAGGGATCAGAGTTTTTCAAGATAATTTGGGGAGAAGAAGCTCGGGAAGTGGGGTGGGGAGTGCTGATTGGTGGATTGAAGATGGAATCACAGTGGGGTCAAAGTGAAGTTTTCTTGCTGTCTTCTGTTCCGTGGGTGGGATTACAGAACTGGTTGAACCAGATTACCAGTCTGGGTAGCATCAGCTGATCCATCGAGTCCAGGATATGCAAAATATCTCAAGCACTGATTTCAGGTTTTACAACAGTGATGTTATCCCCAGGAATAATTTTTGGGAGGTTCAGACTCTTGCAGCCAAAGGCTGCATGACCCCTAAACCATAATTTCTAATCTTGTAGTTAATTTGTTATTCCTGCAAAGGCAGACTGGTCCCCAGGCAAGAAGGTGGTCTTTTTGGGAAAGAGCTATTATCAGTTTTGTTTCAGAGTCAAATCGTAAACTAAATTCCTTTCCAAGGTTAGTTTAGCCTACACCCAAGAATGAACAAGGATAGCTTAAGGTTAGAAGCAAGATGGAGTTGGTTAAGTCTGATCTCGTTCACTGTCACAATTTTCTGTTATAATTTTTGTGAAGGTGGTTTCACCAGGGGCTTTTTAGATAAATGGGCGTGTGCTTGTGTTGCTGCTTCAGTGATGGGGAACTCAAGTGGCACTTATGTAGCAATGGCCACAGGTATAAAATAGCCTGAATAACCTGAAATAATCTCATATAACACATCAACTTGTCTTAAATTTAAAAAGCAGACATACCATGAAAAGATGTAGAAAACAGTCCGTTTGTAAATGGAAATGTAAACTAGACAAGATATATTGGGCAAGTCACTTGTTTTCTAATACTAAATAGTAACATCACTCTTCCTTTCAGAGTTCATAAAAGCATTTTGCAACCATTAAAGTTCTATACAAACTTTATTTATTAAAGAACATGTGGTTGGGCGTGGTGGCTCACACCTATAATCCCAGCACTTTGGGAGGCCAAGGCTGGTGGATCACGAGGTTGGGAGATGGAGACCATCCTGGTTAATATGGTGAAACCCCATCTCCAGCCTGGACAACAGAGTGAGACTCTAGCTCAAAAAAAAAAAAAAAAAGTGTTATTTGAAAAATATATCCAGGCTCACAAATTGAATCAGATAATGGTATTTGAACAAAATTCATGTGGTGATTTACTTAGTTTCATGAAGTCTTTAGAACCTAATTTCTGTACTCTTTAAATTTTGTAAGACTTAAGTGAAATATATTTAATTTTGTTATATAGCAAATAATATATGGATGGGAGAGGAGAAAGGAAGAAACCTGTCCGGTAGGCAGTTAGGGTGGGTCCTCAGTTAGATTCTTTCAAACAAAAGAACACCCTGTGGCACAGATAAGGGAAATTGCACAGGCGTCTTCCCTAAGACATGCCCACAGCCACACAGATAAAAAAGTCGGCCAGGCGCTGACTTTCATTTGATTTCATTTTTGACCCTATGATCATTCAGGAGCAGGTAATTTAGTTTCCATATATTTGCATGTTTTTGAAGGTTCCTTTCGGAGGTGATTTCCAGTTTTATTCCACTGTGGTCTGAGGAGTGCTTGAAATAATTTCAATATTCTTAAGTTTATTGAAGCTCGTTTTGTGGCCTATCATATGGTCTATCTTGGAGAAAGTTCTATGTGCTGTTGAATAGAATGTGTATTCTGTGGTTGTTGGATAGAACATTCTGTATATAACTGTTAAGTCCATTTGTTCCAAGATATAGTTTAAATGCGTTGTTTCTTTGTTGACTTTCTGTCTTGATGATGTGTCTAGTGCTGTCAGTGGAGTATGGAAGTTCCCCACTATTATTGTGTTGCTGTCTATCTCATTTCTTAGGTCTATTAGTAATTGTTTTATAAATTTGGGAGTTCTAGTGTTAGGTGCATTTATGCTTACCGTTGTGATATTTTCCTGTTGGAAAAGGCCTTTTATCATTATATAATGTCCCTTTTTGTCTTTTTTAACTGCTGTTGCTTTAAAGTTTGTTTGGTCTGATATAAGAATAGCTACTCCTGTTCATTTTTGGTGTCCGTTTGTCTAAAATGTCTTTTTCCACCCCTTTACCTTAAGTCTGTGGGAGTCCTTCTGTGTTAGGTGAGTCTCTTGATTACTGAGGAAGATTTTTATTTGCTCTCCTTTGCTTATAAAGTACTACAATTAAGTGATACTATAGCTTTCTCCCTCTACACCCTGAACATCCCTCTTCCTGTGTTTTCTTCTGTGACTGCGTTTTTTCTGCTAGAGATAAGAATTCTTTTTATTATGTGGTAATGAGAAGGGGAGCTTAAAGCAACTGGGGCCCTTTCTGCTTAAAGTTCCAATTGAAAACAGATTTTCTTTCTTGTGTAGGACAAAAAATTTCCCATACAACTCTGGAAATTATTGTTTGACTTTTTTTCCACCTAATGAAGAATACATTACAGAAAACGTGAAAGATTCAGGTTTCTGCCTTCAGGATTGCACCATTGTGTGTGTGTGTGTGTGTGTGTGTGCACTTGTGTGTGTGCATGTGTGCCCTTGTGTGTGTATGCCTGTGTGCATCCATAATAGAATAAAGAACCTAATGGTGCATCCCACTACGCCATGTATACTATAAATGTTTTAAGAATGTGTTTTCCAAAAAATCATATATTTCATGTTTGATTCATTTGCATAACCTAATAAAAAGTAGTATCATTCCATACATTTCTTCAATTTCACGGTTTTCTTGTGATTTTGTGTACTTGTGTTTTCCTCATTTTTGCTTGATTAGATTGGCTGGTGGTTTTTCTGTTTGGGTTTTCTTTCTTTTTTTTTTTTTGTAGAATCGGAGTTAGATATATTCACCTATTTTCTGTTTTTGTTTTATTTTCAAACTCATTCATTACTACTTTTAACTTATAAATCGTTCTCTTCTTCTTTCTTTTGGTTAATGTTGTTTTTCTTTCCTTACTGTTTTATGGGGTTATTTTCCCTAAGAGCATCTTGCTTAGATTGGTTAGTTTATAGGGTCCAGACTCTTCCAAACTTTGTGAGTTTCCCTTGCACATCCCATAAGTGAAGACTAGTTGCAGATTTGGCTGTAGTTTTCAGATTAGCCAATTGAACTTTCCACGCTAAGTGGACACCCCTAAATTTGAGGATTGCTACCTATTTGTGATTTTTTCCCCCATAGGTCCTAGAACTCTTTGATGTGTATTGGCTGTTCCCCTACGTTTTTTCACATGGTTACTGATAACCAGTGGATCATTTTGTTTCCGGTGGCTTGACCGCATGCACATGTGTTTTGGAAGTCTTGGGCGATACGTTGTCATTTGTCTTTCCTACATGTATTTTTTCTGTGGGCTTTTTTCCTCCTCTCTTTTGCTGTATTTGTTTTTGTGGGAGAGTTAGGGACCTTCCAAAACCATGAAGCTGTCACCTTCTTCCTTCCTTTGCCTAATTTTTAAATGATCACAGGCTGCTCCAGCAACGATGCGTGTCAAGAATGTATGGGGAGACTGGAAGAACAGACATGAAGCTACTGCTATGGTGAGGTAAGAAATGATGGTGCCTTGGATACTTTGAAAGTGTGGACTGAGAAAGTCTCTCTTAAGGACTAAGTTTTTAGCTGGAACCAGAAGGATGAGGACACATAAGAGCCAGAAAAAGAGCCTTCCAGATAGTTGCAGGCACAAATGGTAGTGAGCTGGAGTCTGAGCAATAGACACTTGGTTCAGAGAGAGAACAGAGAAGAAAATGAGTCAGATCATGTCAACAGGATCCTAAGTCCTCTGGCAGCCGTCTCTAACCCTTTGAATGTGAGGACATTTTTGCTTATCTCTGGTGGCAGATATCACAAAAATTATGGACGGACCCTTTTTTGTTTTGTTTTTAGCTCATCAGCTGTCAGTGTTAGTGTTTGTAGACCAAGACAATTCTTTGAATGTGGCCCAGGTAAGCCAAAAGTTTGGACACCCCAGCAAGGTGATTGAAATGCACTCTGATGTCATTTCAGATCACAGCCTGTGGATCTATACAAGGAGACAATTGTAAAAGGAAGCACAATGAAAGAAGGGCCGAAACAGAGATAAAATGAACTCACTGTTCTACAAGATTGAAAAGAACAACCTAATTTGACTTTGACATTGGCATATATCTTTATAGCATTTATGCCTTGAAGGATGAGTAGGATATCAGTAGGTAATGAGTAAGGACATAAGAGCTTTCGACACTTTATATTCTGAGAATAGTTTTCAGGAAACGTTTACTATTGTATAGTGTATCAAAATATATTTAATAAACACTCTCTAAATAAGCAAGTAACCTCACCCCCAAAAAAGTAAATTTAAGGCATGTTAAGTTAGAACGTACCCAATTCTACATCTACTTATGGATGATATATGACCGCCTCAGGAAGACTCTCATACCAGCTGTCATATTTATGTTTTATTTTGGAAATTTATTTCTACAAACAGCATAGGGGAAATTGACCAAGTTTTCAAAGGAGCAGGTGTATCATCCTTGCTTTTTTGGCCCTATTACATGGTGGTAAGCATAATTAATTGGTAAAGATATTAACCAATTTTTATTGGCATATAGTATAATAATGATGGTTAATAAAAATGTTATCTATAGCTAACACGTATTAAATGCTTTACTTGTATCATCTCACACTTCGCTTTAACTCTCTGAAGTAGGTAATATTATGATCTTCAATTTATAGATGAGTCAACTGAGGCTCAGTGAGGTTCAGGCTACATCAAGGACATTCATCTGTGAAACTGCTAAGCTCTGCCAGCAGCCAAGTCTTTATTTACTATTTCAACTAACAAAGCCACTTTTTTTTAACTGAATGTTAAGAGGTCTCTGACTTTGAATTCTGTAGACTGCCAGTGTTTTATAAATTAATCCGATATTTCACAACCTAGTTGACCTTTCTTGGAATATGCTTTGTTTTCTGGACATGTCAAATAGGGTTAAAATTGCCTTAAATAAATAAAGCATATTAACACAAACAGAATTGTTTTTTAATGGCTAATTTAAGCTCTTTTGTAATGTGCTTTTTATTTTAGTACAGCTTATTTTGTTATGCAAATAAGATTCAGCTCTGTTGTGTATTTGTTTTAAAGCTAGTTGCATGCCTTTTTAACAGAAGCCTTTGTATGATGTTGTTGTTTCATTACTTTCAGATTAGTTGATCAACAACCTGCAACACAACATTCAATTTCGTTCCCTGTGAAAATGTTCAGGCTAATAGGTTTCATACGTTGTTGTTTAATTTATCTGCCTATTAGAAGAAGTCATTAAGTAGAAGAAACCAGCTTTTAGAAAGAATGCATTTTTCATTTACTGGTACAGGCATTTTCTTTAAAAAGGCATCATTAATCACATAGTGAAACCACTAATTAAAAATGCTTTACTTTGATTTGCTTTATTTTCCTGAACTGCATTAAATACCAGTTGGTCATGTGCATGGCATGCAAAGATCAAAGGCCTCTGTGCTCCCATTTCTCATTACAAAATTAATAATGGCTCTGCTTTGCACCTCTTTTGTCATGTGTGCATGTGTGTGTGTGTGTGAGAGAGAGAGAGAGGGATTCTACTCAAGTACATGTGTGAGATAGATATATTTTTCACTAATAGAGAAGCTACCTTTCAGACTATGTAAGTAATGTCAAATACAGAAGCCAACTATCTAAATGTAGTGAATGTATCAAAATGTAAGTATTTTCCTTATACTTGCAGAAGTTTTATTTTTATTTCTGTTGATTTCTTTATGTTGGCTTAAATGTAAAATATTTGCTTTTAAACATTGCATTAGGCATGAGTTGTGCTTTGAAGAGAACTAACGTGTTCCAGTTCTTTTATAATAAATTATTGGGGCACCTCTAGAAGACAAGAAGCAAGGTGTTTTGGAGGGAAAAGCACTAGAATGGAAGCCAAGGGACTTCTGTTTTGTTTCTAACCTGCCACAAACTTGCTCTGCAATGCAGACTACTGAAACTCTTTGAGCCTCACCTTTCACAATTGCAAAATGACCAAGCTGGAGCTCATGATTTTATGTTTTCTTCTATATCTAATGTTTTATAATATTAAATTATGATTTTGTTTTAAGGTAAAGAAACAAGATTTCCAAGATATAGGCATATAAAATATATTTTCTTTCCTCATATATTCTACTATTTTACAAAGTTTTATATTATTTGATTTAAAGTTTCTGAACCACTGAGTTAAAGCCTCATATTGAATGAAGAAAATAACAACTGAAGATAAATGCCTTGATATCACCCTTCACCCCACTAAAAATATAGAAAGGTATGGAATATTTGTGTTACATAAGCTAAATCTAAATATAAAGCATTACTGTTTGCCCAGTATTGCACTGCATGCCAGGGGTACTGAAACTTTGAAATTTGCTAACATGGCACATATACCTTGAAGTAGAATCTTGTATTTGTTTCCTAATTTCCATTTTCTGCACATCAAAAGTGAGAGCGGTGAAGAAATATAACTGGAGGTATAAATAGATCACCCACCTCACTCTAATTTATTTGAAATGTTTCCTATTTTCAGTACAGTGGCTATGTTGATAGCTAAGTTAGCATTGGTAGGTGTGCTGATAAAAGAAACCATGGCAACAAGTGAGGCAGGGAAAGAGGAAGATTCTATACAGCAGCACACCAGAATTATTTACCTATTGCTTTTTCTTTGGCTTCTTTCCATCCTGAAAATTTCAAACGTAGCGTAACAAGCATGGGTTTTAGAGTCAAGGCTGGTTAGTTCTGGTGGGAAAACATGGACAACTTATTAGACCTTAGTGAATCTAATTTTCATCATTTATGGAATGGGGCTAGCAGTGTCTACTTCACAGGGTTGACTGATGGTTAAATGAAATGCCATTGTTCATACATCAGCATTCATTGAGAACCTATCATTTCCCAGGCATGGGAATAGAGTGGGGAGTAAGAATGGCAAGGCCCCTTTCCCAGTGGATCTTATATTCCGGTGAAAGACAGACATTATGCAAGTAATAAATAATGTATGACATAGTTCCTTGAAGTGGTAATTGCCAAACATACACTGTGTTTACTACAAACTATTAGGTCACTTACTTTCATGTAGTATAACTTTTTATCTAATGCACATTATACAATATAATTATACACATTACACAATATAATTACTCAATAATTGATTAGACTTTGCTTGGACAACAATTGAGAACTTACCTTCCAAGAAACTCCGCTACTTCATTGGGAAGGTTTTGAACTTTGTGTTGAGCCAACTTCATGACCATTCAACAGTTTTCACTGCACCTGAGAGACATTCAGATATTTGAAGTCTGAAAGCTCCAGTCCCTGATTTAACCCTTCCCTAGGCCAGCACCCTACTTTCTTTGACCATGTCCTATGCAGAATATTTTGTTTTGTAGCCTGTCACTGATCTTTTAATGTTCTTTACTTTCTCCATTTTATTCTTAAAATTGAAACTCCGTAGAGCTTATGGTCATATGCTGAATAAAGTGCATTACAAAGAACTTGGGTTTTGAAAAAAGTCTTCATTTTAGAAATAAGACATTTTATTCAATTAATGTATTAATTGAATAGAATTAATTTCTATAAGTAATTTATGCATGATTTATAGACAACCGCACATGATATATGTGGGAGTTGGACATAAACTTTCAGTTTGCCTTAATTAAGCAAAGATAATAATACATTGTTAGCCAGAGTTCTTGAAAGATGTGCTTTGCTCTGGTTTGGTCTAGATTGTCCTTTGTTGATTTTTACGTTATAGTGACCTGGCTCAGAGGGTTACTTCCTCTCCTCATGTCTGTATTTTGTACCCCTCACTTCAGAATTATTTTTATCCATTTGTGTGGACCTGAGACTTGTAGTGAGTCTTTGGGGTCTCATAATTATATATCTTGGTTTCTGTGTTCTATTCTTTCTTAGCTGCCAACTTATATTGTGCCTAATTAGTGTCCTCTACCAGGAAGGAGAAGAGGAATGGTTTGCATGCTTTTGCTGGCAAGAGTATTTCCCAATTGTTGTCCAAGCTTGCAATGTCACCCACTGAACAGAGTTATTGATATAGCGGCACATTCAATGTAGCAGTAGTAAAAATGCCTTTCAGTGATAACAATTCTAGAGAAGTTTGTGTGGACTAGAGAGACATTTAGAAAAGTACTATTTGGCCTTAAAATGCTTCCACTTAAAGAATATTTACTAATACTCAGTAATTAGAACAACTTTATCATTTGTTTGGCCCCACACAAAAATACATCAGAAGCTCAACTAGCATGTATAATTCCATGGTAACAATTCCATGCACCTGTTCATTTGAAAGTTGAATGACTAGTATTTAATGATAATACTCTACATGTTCTTAATTTAAAATTATATGAAACATACCTAACTCCTTGGGATTTCATGTAGAAAATAGAAGAATTTCTAAATTGAAAATTAAAGTTTATTATAAACACCTCTTTAGAGTTAAACTTTCTATTTTGAGATGATTATAGATTCGCATGCAGTTGTAAGGAAATCATACAGAGAGATCCTATGTAGGCTTTAGTCAGTTTACCTCAATGATAACACTTTGTAAAACTATAATATAATAATCAGGAAACTGAAATTGATGCAGTCAAGATACAGAACATTTTTATCCCCACAATGATTTCTTCATTTACCTTTTGTGGTTGCACCCATTTCCCTCCAGCTCACTCCTTCCCTAAACTTAACCCCTGGAAATCACCAATCTGTTCCTTATTTCTACAATTTTGTTATTTCATAAATATTATATAAATATAATCTTGTAGTATGTAACCTTTTGGGAATGGCTTTATTCAGTCTGCATATTTCTCTGAAGATTCATCCTTATCATTGTGTATCAATAATTCTTTCATTTTTATTGCTGAGTAGTGTCCTATGGTATCGATATACTACAGGTTTTTTTTTTTTTCTTTTTAACAATTCACCTGTTGAAGGACATTTGTGTCATTTCCAGTTTGGGGCTATTATGAGTAAAACTGCTATGAACATTTGTGTACAGGTTTTTGTGTAACTGTAAGCCTTCATTCTCTGGGATAAATACCTAACAGTACAATTGCTGAGTTGCATGGTGGTTCCATGTAATAATCATTTTCACTGTCACAGATACATCTATAAACTGCTGAAAATTACACAGGAAAATACATTTGTAAATTGAATTTTTATAAATTAAATTACATTTTTATTACAATAGTAGGTCTCTGTATTTTAGAAAATGAAGACTCTGTCTGTATTAGTAATAATTTTTCTCTAGTTACTCACTTTATTCCACAGCTCCCTAGCTTCCTTATGTATAAAGGCCATTTACTTGACAGGCTCGATTCAATTTCTGTAGCAAGTGCTCATTTCATAAAGAGTATTGGAGTTACCTATGTGTCACTCTATTGACCATTCTGAAAATTTGTTATTATCATGGCCTGAGGTGTTATATTTATATAATCCGGTATTGAAATTGGGTTTACATCATTAAGCTTTGGACTGTTTGGGTAAAACAGAAAACAAACAAAAAAAACTTCTTTTTCTTCTTCCTGTATTGTTCATCATCAAAGGACAAGAGTCTGTTTCAACACTATGGCATTTGGGAATTTAAAGAAAAAAGTCTAGAAGATTCTTGAGTGTTGAAATAGCTTGTACCTTCTGATTATTTGACAAAACTTTTTTTTTTCCCCTGAGGTCACAGACATAATGTAGTTCTTAATGTGAAACAAATACTTGACTTAGAAAAACTTTTTAAGATATAGGTTTAATGGAAGACTTTAATGTCCTAGTTTATTTAATTAAAGAGTTATGTTTGCTTATGCAGTTTTTCTTTTAAGCAGACTTTTCAGTGTGTGAATGTTCATCATTTTTCTTAAATATGCAGAAACATATCTCATATAGTTCTGAAAATGTAGTCTAATTCTGATATCTGACGAAAACACTGCTGAAAACGTAATACATTTTAGTGCATTAAGATATGTTAGATTTACTTACTGCTTACCTCGTCCTTTTTGAAAAGGACAAATTATTTTATGTATTGAAAGTTCTATTAATATTTATGAAATCATTATAATTAAGTGCAAAAGTCTCTAAAGAAAAGTACATGGAATTAGTAGCACTTTGGTGAGATTTCCATTGTATTAAATGCCCACACCATATCATTCACGAGTTTTCCACCTGATTTTCTTGCATGAATGTGGAACCCTTTCTGTCTGTGTGCTAAATTGGAACAAAAGTTTTCTGACTGATTATAATTTATTTCAATTATAATGGCTATCTTTAGCGACAAATTGTTTAAGCCAAAGGAAATTACTTAACAGAAATAGAAACAAATTAATTGTTTGCAAGACAATCTAAAGAGAACGTTAGCTCTATTTTGTTGATAGTGAATATTGCACTCAGAAGCTATTAATCCTGAGAGAAATGATAACTGTATGTATCCTTATTAATCAAATACCATTAGGTCTCCCTTTTGAATGGGTTCCTATGGATATGTATGTGGAAGAGGTTCAAGAAAGACAACAGTTTTTAATCACTAACTAAGATCATTGCCCTCAAATCCTAACCTGGTTCTCGTACTTTAGTGTGCTGAGCCATGTGTAAACATCAAGGACATTTTAGCTCAAGGTCAGGTGTGAAGCCAACCTGAGTATCATTGCTTCTTTTCCCCAGATTAGTTCAAAGGAGACACATTAGAAAGGGGCCACTTTCAGACCCTGGCCTACTAAACCAGCTGCACTGAAGTGAAGAAGGGGTGGGAAAGACACACAAAGGGACAAGCAAGGAAAGATCAGAAATACGACAGCAACTGACCTCACGTGGTTCTATTTATATTTTTCTTTCTTCTCTTATAAACTCTCTTCCTCTGGCTGGCCAATTTTTGAGTCCTGGTGGACCCCATATTCTCTTTGATAACAAAACATATCCTTCTTGAGATTTCATCGTGATGGATGGGAGAGAGTGATTATTTCAACTCCCTTATATAGCAAGTCACCCAAACATGAGAACTAGAAAGCATCTTATTCAACACTTTAATTTTACCAGTGATGAGTTTTAAGGTTTATAGAATTTTATATGCTTTTCTAAATTCACAAAACTATTTTAACTTGAATTCACCATGTTGCTCAGTTCTGATATTATTTTTCTAGACTTTTTTTTTTTTTTTTTGAGATGGAGTCTTGCCCTTTCACCCAGGCTGGAGTGAAGTGGCACGATCTTGGCTCACTGCAACCTCCTCCCCGCAGGCTCAAGTGATTCTCCTGCCTCAGCCTCCTGAGTAGCTGGGACTATAGGCGCCTCCCACTGCACCGAGCTAATTTTTGTATTTTTAGTAGAGATGGGTTTTCGCCATGTTGGCCAGGCTGGCCTCGAACTCCTGACCTAGTGATCCCCTGTCTCAGCCTCCCAAAGTGCTGAGATTACAGGTGTGAGCCACCATGCCCAGCCTATTTTTCCAGACTTTCTCATTGAGTCCCTAACTGAGACTCAGTTCTTGCAGGAAACTACATAGTACAAGGTAAATAAAGTTGTGTTTTAAGTTCCCAAGAGAAGCTGTGGAATTCCAGCCCTATATAAATAAGAAAGGAAATAGGATGATCTACAAGTTTCTGTTCTAGTTCAAATCATTCTATTCTACTACTCAAAGAAGTGGCTGAGGGTATCACCGGCTGATCGTGGCCTCTCAGTCACTGCCCTGGGCAGTAATCAAGTCACTTCTCCTTTCCTTCTCCTAGGTTATTGGGGATTCTTTTCTTTTTTCAAAATATTCATCCTCTGTTTTGTTTTTATGAGTTTTTCCCCCCTAAGGAATAACAGCAGAATTTAGAATGCAGTCTTATAAACAAGAGACACATATAATATATTTTACTGCTAACTATTATGAAACAAAATATGTAGTGAAAAGAAAACAGAAGTCATGGTTCTGGACAAATTATGAATAGTTTATAAATTCAAAATCACAGTCCTCTGCTTCTTAAGCCCTAGTGTACAGGAGAATTTCCTGGAGTGTTTGTTGAAAGCTTAGCTTCCAAGCACGTCTCCAGAGCCTGAGGCCCAGCAATGTACATTTTAAATAAAATTCCTACTGGCCTCACCATGGCCAGGTAGTTCTGGCTAGATAATATTCTAACAAAACTTCTTGGAACATTGTCTTTTCATGCAGTAGGTGAAAATTCTCCTGACAGGGGTGATTCTTGAAGCCACGTGATATAATTCATATGCTAACTCAAAGTATGTTTGGCTCATCATAACTATTATATCTGGTGGAATTCTCAGTCCTTTCCAAAGCCTCCCTTCTGGTTGCTCCTCTGGTTATTGTATTATGTTATTATTATAAAATCTCTTTTTTGCCAACCAGATTACTTTCCATTTTAATTTATTCACCTCTCCTACTGTTTCAGCTTTTTAATGAAAAACTTGAAATAGATGATCTCTAAATACTCTCCTGCTCCTGAAAGGCTGTAATTCTAGGATTCTGCCTAGTCAATTAATAGAATAACTCATAGTTGACAGTGGTGAAACCGAGATGATGTTGGTAGCAGGTCAGAAATTTCCAGCCCTAAAACAAAAATAAGACACGTAAGTCAATGTGGGTGTTGTTTTAGAAGCAGAGCAATCCTTATTTTGCTCTAAGTAACCTTTACTATTGTTATTTCATTGATTACCTATACCAGAACTTTACCCAAATGATAAAATATGAAGTTTATGCATGGGGGTCTATTTATTTACAAAATTTACATATTTCATTTTTTAACTTTACTGTTATATAAATAAAATAGGGGATTGCATAAATAGTACAGATTTACAGATTGGGAAACGGAGGCACAAATGTCACACATTCCACAATTTAATAACATAATTAAAATTGGAACTCAAACTCTTAATATGTATAGTCTGGAAGGAAATTTTCAAGTGCACTGATAGAATACTTATAAGGTTACAGTGTTCCTCGGTGTCTAAAGGGCTCTATTTGAGTGTAGTGCACGAAGTCAGGCTGTCAAATATCCTGTTGTGTTCCAAATACCTTGCACACCTAAGGATTGCTGCACTCCTCTTGCTATTTATGCCTTCGTTGTAAAATAATGCAAGAGGCCAGACCTGCTTCCATCCACACATGAACTCTCTTGCTCTATGTCTATATTCTTCAGAAAAATACAGCAGAATCATGTCTTTTGGAGTTTGTTTTCTACAGTGAAAAATACCAATGCATTGTATAACACTGTCATTAGATCAACCTTGGATTCTCTATGCCACTTAACTGTTGCAACTCAAAGGAAATAGATGCCTTATTAAATCCACGTTATATTAGCTTATTAGTCTTTTGAAAGTATGGAAAAAGCAGGTTCATTTTTATCTTTTAAAAAATTTTGTGAGTAGGTATTGCAATAGATTTTTAATAGTAAAATTTCAAGAGAGAGAGGTATTACTTTTGCAGTGCTGACAAGAAAATTTAAGGAGTTGTGGACTACTCATCACTCACAGTGAAACACCACAGCTATTTAAGTTAACTGAATTTCAAATGACAAAAAGAACAAAAATAAGGTAACTATTAATAATCATAACCAAGAATGTGGCTAATGCTATTAAAATTTAATGAAAAAATATGTATTTAATAAAATAAATACTGGGTTCCTAATCAAGGTAATATAATGAACTAATATTGTAATATCTCTTTTAATATACTTATTGGTAATACCTAAGAGCTAATTTATAATATTCCTTCTATATTATAAACTCTCTTTATATTAGCAGGCACAAGATTATAACTATATATATATATATATATATAGTTTTCTTAAGGTACAAGATAACTGAATAAAGACACAAATTTAAAAATAAAACAAGTCCCATACCCATGTAATTCCTACTCAAAGTGTTAAATAGAGAATGAAACATTGTTTCTGGACTCAAATTATATTTTTCTTGAAGAAAGATATTTGAAGAACCTCTTCCAATTTTGCATAAAGCAAAAGAATGTAGATTAATAAAATAGGATTTGTTAGAAATTATTCAAAGCTGGTCAAAAAATTCAACTATTGTCAGCATTTTGAGGTTTATATTTATTTTTAAAGTCAGAAGTCATAATACTTTATCTATGTATTTTTCTATGTTTACTATTGTTTAAACTCTTAGCATGCATAATTGCTTTACACTTTTCACCCATATATTTATTGACAGTAATAACTCCTGGGGCATTAGGAATCAGCTGAAACCTTTCAAACAATTGCATTAAAAGGCATAAAACATACATATGAAGACTTGTTATATTGGTACCAAGAGCCACTCTTTTTATCTGAAGATTTTGTGTGAAGACAAAAAATGATCAGAGAGCTTAGGAAATAGAGTTAGTTTTCAATCCCTATGGAGATAGGCTGTCATTAGGAAAGGGTTCACAGGGAACAATTTGCTTCATAAACTAGGTGGAATCATTTTTATGCCATTTTATACATAGGCATACCTCAGAAATATTGTGGATTCAGTTCCAGACCATCACAATAAAGAAGTCACATCATGTTTTTTTGTTTCCCAGGGCATAAAAAAGTTATGTTGCACTATAGTGTACTCTATTAAGTGTGCAATAGCATTATGTCTAAAAAACAATGTCCATACCTTAATTAAAAACACTTCATTGCTAAAAGAAAAATGCTAAGAAGCATCCAAGGCTTCTGCGAGCCATAATCTTTTTGCTAGTAGAGAATCATACCTCAATGTTGATTCTGCTGACTGATCATGATGATGGTTGCTGAAGGCTGGGATGTCTGTATCAATTTTTTAACATAAGACAACAATGAAGTTTGCTACATCGATTGCCCCTTCGTTTCATGAAATATTTTACTGTGGCATGCAATGCTGTTTGATAGCATTTTATCCACTGTAGAACTTCTTTCAACATTGGAGTCAAAATTCTAAAACCCAGACACTGCTTTATCTACTAAATTTATGTAATATTCTAAATTTTTCGTTGTCATTTCAATACTGTTCATAGCATCTTTGCCAGGAGTAAGGTCCAAAAGAAACAACTTTTTTTTCCCTCATCTATAAGAAGCAACTCCTCATCCATTCAAGGTTTCTCATGAGATTGCAGCAATTCAGTCACATATTCAGGATCCACTTCTAATTCTAGTTATCTTGCTACTTCCACCATATCTCAGTTCCTTCCTTTACTAAAGTCTTGAACCCCACAAAATCATCCATAAGAGTTAGATCAACTTGTACCCAAGTCCTGCTAATAATAATTGGACCTCCTGCCATGAATCACAAATGTTCTTATGGCATCCAGAATGGTGAATTCCTTCTACAAGGTTTTAAATTTACTTTGTTCAGATCCAACAGAGGAGTCACCATCTATGGTAGCTATAACCTTACAAAATATATTTCTTTAATAATAAGACTTGAAAGTCAAAATTACTTCTTGATTGATGGGCTGCAGAATGGATGTTTATTAGCAGGCATAAAAACAACATGAGTCTCCTTGTACATCTGCATCAGAGCTCTTGGGTGAACAGATATATTGTCACTAAGCAGTAATATTTTGAAAGAATCTTTTTTTTCTAGCAGTAGGTCTCAAAATTGGGTTTCAAATATTCAGTAAGTCATGATGTACACAGATGTGCTTTCATCCGGGCTTTGCTCTTCCACTTCTAGAGCACAGGCAGAGTAGATTTAGCATAATTCTTAAGGACCCTAGGATTTTCAGAGTAGTAAATGAGCATTGGCTTCAACTCAAAGTCACCAGTTGCATCACCCACTAACAAGAGAGTCAGCCTGTCCTTTGAAGTTTTGAAGCCAGGCATTGACTTCTCCTATGTAGCTAGGAAAGTCCAAATGGCATCTTCTTCCAATAGAAGGCTGGTTCGTTTACAGTGAAAATCTTTTTTTTCAGTGTAGCCACCTTCATCAATGAGCTTAGCTAGATCAGGATAGCTTGCTTTAGCTTCTACGTTAGCACTTGGTGCTTCATCTTGCACTTGGAGACACCTTCTTTTCATAAACTTCATGAACCAACCCCTGTAGTTTCAAACTTTTCTTCTGAAGCTTCCTCAGCTTCTCAGACTTCAAAGAATTGAAAAGAGTTAGGGTGGCTCTGGATTAGGTTTTGGCTTAAGGGAATATTGTGACTGGTTTGATCTTCTATCCAGACCACTGAAACTTTCTCCGTATCAGCAGTAAAGCTGTTTCACTTTCTTATCATTCTTGTGTTCACTGGAATAGCACTTTTAATTTCCTTCAAGAACTTCTTTGCATTCACAACTTGACTAACGGTTTGGTGCAAGAGGACTAGCTTTTGGCTTATTTCAGCTTTCAACATGCTTTCCTCGCTAAACTTAATTATTTCTAGCTTTTGATTTAAAGTGGGAGATGCAACTTTTACTTGAATACCTAGAGGCCATTGTAAGGTTATTAATTGGCCTAATTTAAATATCATTGTGTCTCAGGTGTGGGTGGGGGGAGCCCAAGAAGGAGAGAGGTGAGGGAATGACCAGTTGGTAGAGTAGTTAGAAGACACACAACATCTATTGCTTAAGTTTGCCATCTTATATGGGTAAAGTTCTAGGTACCCCAAAACTATCATAATAGTAACAACAAAGATCACCGATCACAGATCATAACAGATCTAATATTAATAATAATGAAAAAGTTTGAAATATTGCAAGAGTTATCAAAATGTGAGACAGAGACACAAAGTCACACATGCTTTTCGAAAAAATGGTGCTCATAGACTTGCTTGATGCAGGGTTGTCACAAATCTTAAATTTGTAAAAAATGCAGTATCTGTGAAGCACAATTGAGCGACGGGCCATATAATAAGGCGTGCTTGTGTTATTCATTTGACTCTTAGGGTAGAATAAGAACGTTTCCTTTTTTTCCAGCTGGTAATCATTAATATGTATTTGCTAGAATAAATACTATGCCTTGTAACCTCATTCCTCTATTTTATATTTGGATTTTTCATCTCAGTTAAAAGACAAGAGTAGAGGTACTATAGGCTGCTTTACATTGTACTCCACTTCCTCTCTCTTTTCTCTCAACCTATAAAAAGATGATGGGGAAGCAGAATATCTGGCATGAATCACTGCAGTATGGCTGTGATATATCTTTGTTTTATTTTTATGTTTTAAACATGAAATTCTGAATAAAAGGAATGGTCCCTTTTGTGATGTGAAGAATCAGCACTTAGAATCAGCATCGTTTAATTCTATTGAATCTCGCCACTCATCCTGTTTGCAGTGTGTTTTCCATTTATGCTGGGCGATTGGAAAAGAAGGCTGCCTTCATGTGATTTTATTCCCTACGTATTTAACATGGGAGAGGATGTATTGATAACATATGGCTTTAAACAGCTTAGTGTTCAGCCTCATTTTGACATTCCTCCTCATGAGAATATCTTTTGTTTTCTTTATCTGTGGTTTGGTAGAAAATCAAAAAAACATTTATCTCAAAGCCAATATGTATTGACTACTTCATACACATCATTTCCTTACAGGTTAATGTATTAGATTAGTTATTATCCCCTATTGACAGGTGATGAAAATGAAACTCAGATAGGAAATAAAGTAACCAAGGTCACCTACCAAGTAAATAGTGAAGAGGGCATTTAAAACCAAGTGCCTGACTGTAACCTGTTGTTGAACTGCAGCTGGGCACTCTACATTTGCCATTGGCTTCTGGATACACAAAAAGTTACTTAGCTAGTTAAATGAATCTTACAGTTTCACCTGGCTCTCCTGATGAACTTTGACTATTGTCTACCAACCACACCCACTTTCAGCTTTTATTCAACAAAGCTGCACCTGAGTGCATGATTCTCTGAGAACAGGAACAAAAACATTTTCTTCACTATATACAACATCATAAATGCAAGTCATTTTTCTCTCTCTCTCTCTCTATCTCACCAGTTACCAATCTCTTTCTCTTACATCCATGGAGATTTTGTTCTTTCTTGTCTCTTATTTGTAAGGAGAGGTGTAGCATTCCAAATAAAAATGAAGTCCTTTATACAAGGATGCAATCTCTGGTTTACCACCATTAACTCTGAATTTATTTTAAGCTGCTATAGTGATGAGTATTTGATAACACTACATCATCCACAACTTAGAAGAAGCATTTTTTGGTATGTTACTTCTGTGATTTGGTTAGGATATGTGGTTTGGACACAGTGATCATAACAGGTATATATAGAAATTGAAAAAAATAGCCATATTAACTCTTTTAGCTCATTAAGACCTTCTCTGTTTTTTGAATGAAAATTGTAATCTTCTGAAAGTACAATTTGAATTTCTTCATTATCTCATACAAAAGGTAACAAAATATTTGCTGACATAAAATCATTATTTTTGCTGTTCAGAACATTAGAAATCTTTATACAAACCTTCAACTTTACAGTGGCCATTTCCTAAACTTGTTTCATTAACCTAGGAACTTAGAGATGACATTAAGTATAATTTTATATATCAAAGAGTAATGAAGACTTGGACTCAAGTCAAATTAATATTTTTATAATGAAAATGATCTGTGAGACAGCATGCCACATAGAAAGCTTTCTGGCTTTCTGATTTGCAGTGGTGCTATTTCTTATGATGAGTTTTTTATTTAATTTAAAATAGTACAGGGCACGTACCTGGTATATACATCCATTTGGTTAACATTAAATTATGGTTAATTTATTTGCTATATCTAATCTATCAGGTTGTCATTTACATTCAGTGATGACAAGAAAACTATTATTTTTATTACATAAAAGCAAAGGCTTTTTCCCCCAAGTGTTTGTTGTAGACAATAAAAGTATAAATATTCAAGTTATGAAACAAAATTTCTCGTCATTCAATGGTTCATTTTTATAGAGCACTTCAATTAGTGATTAAAATCAAGGGTCTCCTCCCCACCAACCCCATCTAAATTGTCCCAAAACATTTTCTTATTTCACTCCTAACTTTGAATAAAAATGTGTCTGATGTTTCTGTGACCTTGGGGAATAATTTAAAGGCAGTGCAAGGAAACAAGCTGATAGTTGTAGCAGATGCAAAGTGAGAACATCTGTATTTACTCCCAGTAAATGTAGAGCCTTTCATTAAACTGGATGGCAGAGCAGAACATCAGGAACAGTAGATATGAATGGTTGTCAACAACTTCATGTCAAGCCTAATGTCAACCAAGTATGTTATCTAAAATCTCCTATGGGAAGATCTATTTTCACTTTTAATTAAAGGAAGAAATTCCAACCTTGTCAATGAAGAAATTTTGTGTGGAGATGCACTATTAGAAAACTGGTTCTTACTTGCAATTGCATTTGCCAACATCTTCTGTTGTAAATGGAGACTATATTGTGCTACACACACACACACACACACACACACGCAGGCACGCGCATGCGTGCACATGAATGTATATTTGAAATTAAAGCATAAAGACAAAGCTATTTTGTTTAATGTAGCTCTACCTCTGCATAAAAACTGATATAGAAGGAGATGCAGCCAAAGGTGTTACAGGGATCTAGATTGTAGCTTCTTTGATCCACAACTCTGGGTTGCTCTTGGTCACTGCTTATACTCTCTATGGTACACGTTTGTACTACTGAGCTTTTGAAAGAACATTTTATAATAAAATAGTAATTCACAAGCAACGGATGGGAACAGAATGTTTTTTCCTTCTTTCTTAGGGTAGAATGACTCATTTTTATCTCCTGGCTCAGTGTGAAGAAAGGACTACCCATGGATATTATTTTAAATCATATTGCAAAGTGTGCATGAAATGCTTTGTAGCTCGGGGTTTTGGATAGAGTTGACATTGGTCTTGCAGGGAAACCATACTATTTCAATACTTCTTTTGCATTTTTTTATTTTTTAAACCAGTAGTATTTTCTGATCTATTGTATATTTCTGTCATGCAGTCATAGCTTGTGTAGTAGATGGAGAGTCACCTCATCCCTTGGTGATTGAAGTAAGACTATCTTGATCTCCAGGTCCACAGTCCTGGGCAGGTCAAACCCTCATTCCCATGACTCATTCCTCTTGCTTTTTCTTTGTCTCCACTTCAGAAACATTGTGGACTATACAGTCCTATCCAACATCATACTGAGATGTTAAACCTCCATTATCTCCCCAACATTAGATCACACAAGCATTTTGAAGATTTAGGGTGGCAGAGGGGAGGAACAACCATACTTCATGAATAATCTTTTGCAGTCTTGATAATTCAATTTGCTCATACCCCAACACTTTCCAAAGTCTTGGTTGCTGACAGAAGGCCGTTGTAGAACCCTCCCAGCAATGCGGACCACTTCTGCTACTCAGTATTGACAGTGATCAGCCCAAGACAGATACCCTGGATCTCTGATGAATAAAATTTTCTCTGTAATATATTAATAAATCTTATTGATAAGACTGAACTATTACTCATAACCTCTAAAAATATTGCCAATATTCAATAAAACATCCAGTCTTGGTTGATCTGAGTAAATAAGGTCCTCCAGAGAATTGCCAAGTATTTTATTTTATTTTTATAGATTTAGGGGATACTAGTGCAGTTTTGTTACATGGGTAAATTGCAGTGGTGAAGTCTGGGCTTTTAGTGTAGCCATCACCTGAAGAGTGTGCATCGTATTCATGAGGTAATTTCTCATCCTTCACCCTTCTTTCCACCCTCCCATCCTCTGAGTTTCCAAGGTCTATTTATATGGACTCTTTGTTTGTGCTAATTTGATGAAAGTTGGAAACTTTGCTGGGAAGCAAAGATGCAACACATTCTGAAGGGTGGTTCTAAGCTGCATGCCCTACTTGTGACACCAGACAACCTCAAAGAAACTTAAAACTGAATGGTAAGGAGTTCTCCTTTTCGTGCCTTCCAAGGCAAGTGCCAGCCATCTCAGTAGGCTAAATTTAATTATTATTTATAGGTGACACAATTATATTCTGTTCTCAAAAAAGTGTTGTAAAAAGCATACTTGAGGAATAAAATATTTATTGAAACAAAGCAATTAAAATTATTGGTAACTAATTTTAAAATATAACAATAATCCAAATCCCTTTGAATTTAGATATTCTTTTAAAAATGAGAAGCACTGAGCCTAGCAAAGTGAATCTAGAAGGGTATTATTAGATTGACATTGTAGAAAAGCACTTTCATCTGGTTTTTAAATGTGCAGCTAGAGGGATGGCCTGTGGATACTGGGCAGAAAGAGACAGAAGACAGTAAATGTTTGGGAACAAAACCTACATTTTGAGTGGGTTTCTTTTTTAATCTGCAGAAAGTCATTTCCAGATATATTTGCCATTTTACTAGACTTTGTTTTTTCTTGCATTACTTTATGCTGCTTTTTTTTTTCTTTTGGAGACGAAGTCTCACTCTATTGCCCAGGCTGGAGAGCAGTGGGCATAGTCTTAGTTCACCTCAACCTCCTCTTTCTAAGTTCCAGTTTCTCCTGCCTCAGCTTCCCGAGTAGCTGGGATTACAGGTGTATGCCACCATGCCTGGCTAATTTTGTATTTTTCTTTTTTAGTAGAGACGGGGTTTCGCTATGTTGGCCAGGCTGGTCTCAAACTCCTGACCTCAAGTGATCCACCCACCTCAGCTTCCCAAAGTGTTGGGATTACAGGCGTGAGCCACAATGCCCAGCCATATGCTGCATGTGTTTTAAAAAGCAGGTGCTATATTTATTTAGTTTCATTATTTAATATTTAATCCGACAGAGTCAGTCCCCCTATTTTCAATCCCAGAAATGTGCTTATTTTGATGCTGTTTTAAAATGTATCGTTTCTGAATCATTTAAATTCCCGATTCCATTTTAACTATATTGATATTTCTCCAGCTGCTCTCTGTACTGGCTTAACATGCAGAGGATTTTTTATTCAGTGCAATCTCTCAGGAAGGGATTCTAAGTTCTAGTGTCAGAGTGAGACGTAGTCTGGGATGGGGGCAAACGTGTCAAAAGGCAACACTGAGAAAGGAAGAAGGACAGGGAGAGAGACTCCTGTTCATGCCTCAGGGTATATTCAATGGGAAAGACAGGAGAAGCTGCTCCAGTTTCCTTTTGCTTAAATTTCTTGATTTAGCATCACATTCTCTGTGGTAGAAGGAAACATCATTACAGATTGACCCTGAGGCAGGAAGAAAACAACACTGTGGCTCTTAAAAATGAAAGAGAACTGAACTGTGGTGTTTGAATATCCCCCTCGTCTGTATCCTTTGTCTTGGGCCTCCCACACCGGGGCGCGGGTTCAGCAAAGCCTCAAAGAGCCAGCAGGCAACCCTGGAGTTAGCAACAGCGCCCCCTGACTCACACTGGGTGTTCTCTTTGTAGGTCTCTAATCTAATAAATAATTCAGCCTGACTCTGATGAATTGATGAGCCCCATGGGGTATTACAGCCCACAAATAGGCAGTCTGAGGTCTTTCGAATGGCTGCGAAGCATTGGAAGAATTTTCTGGAAATGTTTTTGAAAACTTTTCACCCACATACAATCACAATATTTTAAAACAAACTTCCACTTCTTCTATATCGCTACTACACTTCGTTGAAATTGCTTGTTTAATTACCTGAAAGGTTTTGGAAAACAAGAACCATGTCTATCTTTCTCTCTATTCCATCCTCAGGATCTAGTGTAGTCCTAAGCATTTAGCTTAGTGTGTGTGTGCATGTGTGTGTGTGGATGTAGTATGTTTGTGTGTGTAGACATGTGTATATAGATGCATATATATAATCCATATATACCTATATCTATATGTCTATATCTATAATGTACATCTGTATATATCTACATATATCTGTATCTATATCATCTATATTTATGCCTATATCTATATCTGTATATCAACATCTATACTTACACGTATGTCTATATCAATATTTATTGAGCTCTTATTATTCTATTCCAGACATTTCTGTATATCACACATACTTCAAGTTTTTTTAAATACATGTATATACCCATGAAATAGGCATTGCTTCAGAGAGATTATACATCTTCCCAAAAGACATATGTGAGTTTGTGGTTGGGCTACAGTTCAAGTTTTCTGTGAATTCGAAGCTATTTTACATTGACTCTTGTATGGTGAGAAAGTATATTTACTCTAATTATGTTTCTTGGTAAAAGAAATGGCATTACAGCAAATTAATGAAAACTTGTGTTCTCAACTCATTTTTCTAAAAATAGTAACACTTGTAAATGTAAATATAAATACGAGTAGTCATTATTCAGCATTATTGGGCATTGGTTTCCATTTACTCCTAGTGCCCCAATAAAGTGACATTAAAAGAATAAATCACACAAGCATAAAAGAAACGGAATTTAGAGATTGGGGAAGATACGATAATTTAACAAATTTCCAAAAGATAGATGATTGATAAAACTTCATAATATTGTTCTGAGAAAACTTTAATTTTGCTATTTAAAATAATTTTTTTTTTTTTTTTTTTTTTTTTTTGACAGAGTTTCGCTCTGTCACCCAGGCTGGAGTGTAGCGGCTCGATCTCGGCTCACTGCAACTTCCACCTCCTGGGTTCAAGTGATTCTTTTGCCTCAGCCTCCAGAGTAGCTGGGATTACAGTCGTGGGCCACCACACCCTGATAATTTTTGTGTTTTTGGTAGAGACGGGGTTTCACCATGTTGGCCAGGCTGGTCTTGAACTCCTGATTGTGTGATCTGCCAGCCTCGGCCTCCCAAAGTGCTGGGTTTACAGGTGTGACCCACCACGCCCGGCCTAGAATAATCTTTTATGGCATCTTTGCATACCTGCCACACAGATTGCTGATACTTAAAGTATAATATAAAGAGGCATCATGGCTTTTAAAACAATGGATATGATAAAATAATGCCAATAGAAGATTTTTCTATATGCGAATTACATGGGGATGAGACAGGCTGCCTGGCACTGCTGCAGCCCCAAACCCATAGCGCGTAGGAAGTCAGGCATTTACCCCCGCAACAAGCAAATTCTAGAAATGATTTCTTTAAAAGGAATAAAAGGCGACTTCACTGGAAAAAACTATTGCTTCTAGAGGAGACACTAGAACTTAAGGGATAAATGTAGCATTTTGATGGAACTTTTCCAAAAGCAGGTTTGCCTACCACCTGTTTATCGCAGGTAGGAAGCTGCTGAACAAAACATGGAGCTTTCAGACAATGTAAGTTCTTGAAGGGTCAAAGAAGGAAATTCACACAGCTAACTAGGTATAATGACCCAGAAGTCCATTCTTAAACATGAATTGAAAACCAAAACTAGCCAAACAAATGAGAGGCAAAGCCAGCTGGACTTCCCTGGGTCGAGTGAGGGGACTTGGAGAACTTTTCTGTCTTACAAGAGGATTGTAAAATGCACCAATCAGCACTCTGTAGCTAGCAAGAGGATTGTAAAATGCACCAATCAGTGGTCTGTAAAAACCAGTCAGTGCTCTGTAGCTAGCAAGAGGATTGTAAAATGCACCAATCAGCGCTCTGTAAAACGCACTAATCAGCAGGATCCTAAAAGTAGCCAATCGTAGGGAGGATTGAAAAAAGGGCATTCTGATAGGTCAGAAACAGAACGTGGTGGGGGGGGGGGGGCACAAATAAGGGAAGAAAAGCTAGCCACCCCAGCCTGCAGCAGTAACCTGCTCGGGTCCCCTTCCACGCTGTGGAAGCTTTGTTCATTCGCTCTTCACGATAAATCTTGCTGCTGCTCACTCTTTGGGTCCATGCCATCTTTAAGACCTGTAACACTCACCTGAAGGTCTGCGGCTCCATTCTTGAAGTCAGCGAGACCATGAACCCAGTGGAAGGAATCAACTCTGGACATAGTAACATGGAACAGAAATAAGATCAGTAGTACATACACACACACACACAGACACACACGCACACACACAACCCAAATCTATACAAAAGGAATGAGAGCTCTGAAAGAGCAATGTCAGAAAATAAGAGAGATTAGATGTAAACAAATTAGCATATTAGATGATAAATGCAATTTACTTTGTGTGTGTGTGCATAGAGAATGATTATTTTAAAAACTGGCATTTTACACCACTTAGGAATTCAGCTGATTTTTACTATTTCAACACTCAGATGATCATTCAGAAAGGCATTCAAAGGGTGTTTTTTTTTGTTGTTTTTAGTCTTCTTTTTGGAAATTAGACCAAAATTTTTATTTTAAATATTTCTCATATTTCCTGAATCAAGATTCTTCTTCTCTTCTCTATGTACTCAATGACTCAGTTGGCTAGAATAAGAAATGGTTTATTGTGGACAGTATTGTTATTTAGAAAATATATCTAATTGACCTTAGTCATTAAATTAATCCAGTATTTTAAATTCTATTTAAATATCATGTAGTCATTCACCAGTCTTTGTTGACTCGAATTCTTCATAGACCTAGAGAGAATTAAAAAAACTAATCTGACTGTATCCCTTATAGCCTTGAGATCCTTCAATGGCTTTGTCTCTAGGAATCCCATGATCTTGCACTGCCAACTTTTGTTAAGATGAATATTGTATTACTTTTGGAGTAAAAATAATAAATTTCTTAAAAATGGTTGATTTATATTCTTCAGGACTTCTTGTAGAATAGTCAAGCACCATCTCCCCTGTCTTTTCTCCCTAACCTCCTCACAAACTGATGCCCTAAACTGTTCAACCTAGGAAATCAAGGAATTAAAAAGAACCTGCAGATGACCATTTTTTGTAGCGAGTCTACCCTACTCCACTTGACTGTTGAGGGTCATAGTGCCATAGTCCCACTGCAGAGTAGATAAGAGAAAGGCAGAGCTGAAATAAGGGTTCATTATTGCTGCTTCAAAATCACTTGGAGCAATAGAAAAATAATCCGGAAGAGAAAAAATGAACACTGTGGGAAAAGGAGTAACAGAATGAAGATATAACCTCTGGGAACTTCATAATATTGTCCAGAGAAAGCCTTCATTCTACCATTTAAAACAGTGTCTCATAACACCTTTGCACACATGGTTCACAGATTGCTGATCCTCACAAGAGTATAAAGAGGTACCCAGGTTTTTAAAACAGTAGAACAATATAATAAAATAATGTTAACATTTTTTTCTATATGTAAATTAGATGGGGATTAGGTGGTGGTGAGATTTGTAAGAAGTTGTAATCATCTGAGAAAATAGGGGCTGGGTGAGAATTGTTTCTAGAAAAATACTGTACTAAAGCTATCATTCAGACTTAACCTGACCAAATTGCTAGAAATAGAGCAATATTTTATTTTGTCACTCTTCTGTATTGAAATTTTCATATTTTTAAACTGAATAAGAGTATTTAAATTTTTCTCTCCTAAAACTTGGTCTCAAAAACTCATTTATGTGATGAGATTATTGCATCTTGTTAAAATTTCTTGACTTGGTTACAATTTGTGGTCTCTTGTTTGCTTTCCTGGGCTTTTGAATCTCTTGATTTATTACAGCTGCTACCACAGAAAAATAAAGAATCATTAGAGACTCTTACAAATGATTATACACCAGCAAATTGGAAAACCTAGAAGAAATAGACAAATTCCTGAACACATACAACCTGCTAAGATTGAATCATGAAGAAATAGAAAACCTGAGCAGACCAATAATAAGTAACGAGATTGACTCAATAATGAAAATGCCTCCCATCAAAGAAAAGCCCAGTGATGGCTTCACTGCTAAATTCTACCAATCATTTAAAGAACTAATACCATGGCTTCTTAAACAATTCCAAAAAATTGAAGTGGAGGGAATTCTTCCAAACTCCTTCTACCCTGAGTTAAGTAAAGAATGAGTTAAGTAAAGAATCTACCCTGATATCAAAATTAGACAAGAAAACAACACAAAAAGAAAACTATAAACCAATATCTTTGACATTGGGTAGTATCATCTTTTTAACAATGTATTCCAATACATGAATATAGACTACCTTCCCATTTAACTGTGTCCTTTTCCATTTCTTTCATCAATGTTTTATAATTTTTATTGTAAATACATTTCACTTCATCAATTAAATTTATTCCTACATAAATATAGATGCAAAATCCTTAACAAAATACTAGTAAATTGACTCTAGCAAAAAAACTAGTAAACTGATCTTTTGATCATTAAAAAAGATCATTCACCATGATCAAGTGGGATTCATCTCACGGATGCAAGAATGGTTTAACACAGGCAAATCAATAAACACCTTACATCACATTAACAAAATGAAGGACAAAAACCAAATGATCATCTCAATAGATGCAAAGAATGCATTTGATAAAATTCAATATTCCTTCCTGATAAAAGCTTTTAACAAACTAGGGATAGAAGGAAAGAACCTCCACACAATAAAGGCTATAGGTAACAGTTAACATCTTATTGAATGGGAGAAAATTGAAAGTTTTCCTTTGAGATGTGGAACAAGATAAAGATGCCTACTTTCACCACTTTTATTTAACATATCACTGGAAGTCCCAGCCAGAGCAACTGGACAAAAGAAAGAAAGAAAGGCCATCCAAATTGTGAAGGAGGAGTTCAAATTGTCCCTGTTTGCAGACAATGTAATCTACAAGTGCTGTCAAAAAACTTTTAGAACTAATGAACCAATTCAGTAAAGTTGCAGTATATGAAATCAACATACAAATATAGGAAGTGTTTCTAGATGCCTATAGTGAACTATCTCAAAAAGAGATCAAGAAAGCAATCCCATTTACAATAGCTACAAAAATACTATCTAGGAATATATTTAATCAATGAAGTGAAATCAATTTACAATAAAAATTATAAAAAGTTGATGAAAGAAATTGAAAAGGACACAATTAAATGGGAAGATATTCCATGTTCATGGATTGGAATATATTGTTAAAATGATGAAACTACCCAAAGAGATCTACAAATTCAATATAATACTAATCAAAATATCAATGACATTCTTCGTAGATATAGAAAAAAATCCTAAAATTTGTATGGAACCTAAAAAGACCCTGAATAACCAAAGCAATCTTTAGCAAAAAGAACAAAGCTAGAGGCATCACACTACCTGACTTCAAAATATACTACAAAGCTACAGTAACCAAAATATCATGGACCGGCATAAAAACAAACTCATAGACCAATGAAATAGAATACAGAACCAGAAACAAATTCACACATTTACATTCAATTAATTTTCACAAATGTCCCAAGAACACACATTGGGGAAGGGACAGTCTCTTCAATAAATGGTACTGGATAAACTGGACATTCACATGCAGAATGATGAAACTAAACCCCCATTTCACACCACATACAAAAATCAACTCAAATGGATTGAAGACTTAAATGTAAGATCCAGAACTATAAAACTACTAGAAGGAAAGAGGGAAAATGTTTTATAACACTGGTGTGGACAAGGATTTTTTTGGATAAGACCTCAAAAGCACAGGCAACAAAAGCAAAAATAGACAAATAGGATTACATCAAACTAAAAAGCTGCACACAAGAGAAACAATCACCAGAGTGAAGAGAAAACCTACAGAATGGGAAAAAGTATTTGCAAGTGATCCATCCAACAAGGGATTAATATTCAGAATATATAAGGAACTCGAACAAATCAATAGCTAAGAAAACAAAATCCATTGAAAAATGAGGAGACGCTCTTCACGTAGAGTGTCCACGGTTTCCTGTTTCAACAGTGCTTGGAGGAACCAGGGCTTGTCCTTCACCCTGGCCTGTGGCTCACAGCCAGCCTTCCAGCACCTCCTCACCGCGCCGTGGGACCACCCCAAGGCCCCTGCCGGCTCCAGCGCTGCGCAGCCTCTGTGGCCTCGGCCTCTCCTTAGCCCCGCCATGAGGATCGGCGTTCTCACAGGTGCCAGAACTACCACCAGGACTCAGAGGCTGCCATCAACTGCCAGATCAACCTGGAACTCTACACCTCCAAGTCTACTTGTCCATGTCTTACTACTTTGACCGCGATGATGTAGCTTAGAATAACTTTGCCAAATACTTTCTTCACCAATCTCATGAGGAGAGGGCACATGCCAAGGGAACTGATGAAGCTGCAGAACCAACGAGGTGGCCAATCTTCCTTCAAGATATCAAGAAACCAGACTGTGATGACTGGGAGAGCTGGCTGAATGAGATGGAGGGTGCATGACATTTGGAGAAAAACATGAATTAGTCACTACTGGAACTGTACAAACTGGCCACTGACAAAAATGACCTCCACTTGTGTGACTTAATGGAGACAAATGTGTCCTGGATGGATTTTCACCTGAAGGAGCAGGTGAAATCCATCAAATAATTGGATGACCACAGTGACCAACTTGCACAAGACGGGAGCACCCAAATCTGGCTTGGCAGAATATGTATTTGACAAACACACCCCCCGAGACAGTGACAATGAGAGCTAAGCCTTAGGCTAATTTCCCCATAGCCATGGGGTAACCTCCCTGGTCACCAAGGCAGTGCATGCATGCTGGGGTTTCCTTTACCTTTTTTTGTAAGTTGTACCAAAACATCCACTTAAGTTCTTTATCAGTTTCATTCCTTCAAATAAAAAAAATTTGGTACCATCCCCCCAAAAGAAAAAATGGGCAAAAGATTTGAATAGACATTTCTCAAAAGAAACCATACAAATGGCAAAGGAGTATATATAAAAAAATCCTCAACATCACCAATTATTTGGGGAATGCAAATCAAAACCGCCATGAGATATCATCTCATCCCAGTTAGAATGACTACTATCAAAAAGGCAAAAAATGACAAATACTGGTGAGGATGCAGAGAAAAGGGAACGTATATACTGTTGGTAGGAATGTAAATTAATTCAGCCATTATGGACAACAGTGTGAGGTTTCTCAAAAAATTACAAATAGAACTACTATATGATTCAGACACCCCAACTAGTGCGTACATATCTAAAGGAAATGAAATCAGTATGTCAAAGAGACATCTGTACTCCTATGTTAGTTGAAGCACTATTTATATCAGCCAAGATATGGAATCAACCTTAAGTGCCTATCAACAGATGAATAGATAAAGAAAATATAAAATATTTACACAATTAAATAAAATTCAGCCATAATAAAGCATGAAATCCCGTCATTTCTGGCAACATGGATGAGCCTAGAGAACATTATTTTAAGTGAAAGAAGCCAGTCACAGAAAGACAAATATGGCACAATCTTACTCATATGTGAAATCTACAAACATTGATCCAATAGGAGTAGAGAGTAGAATTGTGGCTACCAGAGAATGGGAAGGGTAGGGGGAGAGTGGAGACGTTGGGAAATGGGTAAGGAGTTACAGTTAGATAGGAGGAATAAGTTCTAATGTTCCATTTCACAGTAGGGTGACTTTAGTTAACAGTAATCTATTGTATACTTCAAAATAGCTTGAAGGGAGGATTTTAAATGTTCTCACCATAAAAAATTATTAATGTTTGAGGTGACTGATATGCTAATTGTCCTAATATCATATATTATATACATGTATTGAAACATTATACTAAATCCCATAAATATGTACAGTTTTTATGTGTCAATTAAGAATAAAACAAAAAAGAAAGAATATAGGCTTAAAAAGAAATTAGCTCATATTTGTGATAAAAACATACCAGTATTTCTATTTAATATACATAACTTTTTTTCCTTTGAAATTTAAAGACTTTACTGCTTTGCAACATTATTTTTCCCTAGTGGACTATTTTTCTTTTGCTGCAGTTTTTCACTAAGTGAGCTAAGACAATTGAGAATAAAAGAAATGTATTAAAGTTGGCAGCTGGTTGACTCCGTTTTACCTCATAGCTTTGCTTTTCTCTTCCTTGATATGTCAGACAGGGTTTGAGATGAAACTTTGTAAGAGAAATTCTGACAGAACATTAACTGAAAGTGTACGTGAATTAATTAAAGTTGGCTTATTTATGGGGATAAATTAGTTTGAAAATGCATTCAAAACTATTGTCTTCTCAGACTGATCAATAACTTTTTCCTTCTACTCCACCGTGATGGATACAGAGTGTCTATTATGTGTGAAAATTGATTCTAATCACCTACTATCATGTTATGTATGTGAAAATTATTAACATAGTGTCTGACATGTAGTAAATATTCTTCATTTTATTGTTCTCATATAAGTAATTTCTGAAGCAGCCTCTGTAGTGATCTAGCTTCTTGCCAATAAATCCAACAAAAAAAGCATCTTGTTTGATTAGTAGACATTCTTATTACTAGAATTTTTTTTCTTTTTGAAGTCAAAATCTCACCGTAATTTCCAACAAGTAATTCTAGTTCTGTTCTGTTAAGGAACTCAAGTCAAATATTTGAGAGAATATATTCTTCTAGTTTTCTCTTTTCCTAAGCCGAACTGCAATAGTTTCTTTAAACGACTCTCATATAACATTTCAGTTCTCATACCATCTTTTAAGTTATAGTAATAAAATATTAAGTTGGAACTAGGTGACACATATATGCCACATTTGCCACTTCTTTCTTATTTTATAATACATTTTCTGCTGTGGTAAAATATGACTTTAGAATCTCTCTTAATACAGCATTTCAATAAGCCAATAGTGCAAAGGATTGGAAACTTATTTACTGTATTTGATAGTTTAAATATCTAATTTTAAGTTACTGTAGCAAGGCTCAAGGAATCTTAGTAAATTACCCAAGCTGGTGAAGCTAGTTGTGATAGTCTGATATCAACTTCTACTTCTACTTTATTGCCAACTTCTCTTCTAAGTAAACTCCAGTACTTACCTACCTTGTTAAAACCAGTGCCATGTTTGGTGTTTTTCAGCATGGTTTGCAATCTATAAAAAACCTGAAGAAACTTAAAAGTTTGTAAAGAAGGAAACTACTGAATACATTATGGTCTTCATTTTACTTTTGAAAATAATTAGATTTATATGAATAGACCTAAAAAGATATAATGACAAATGAAAAGATAGATCCAAAATGATATAGCCCTGGTATGGCAGCTCATGCCTGTAACCCCAGCACTTTGTGAGGTCAAAGTGGGAGGACTGCTTGATATGTGTGTGTGTACTGTATGTACATATACTAGCGTATGTGTATATATACATGTAGATATCTGTAATGTTAACTTATGTTTATACACATTAATAATATTATAAATAACAAAATTAACATGTATAAATTTTATAATATATAAAATTTTGCTATATATAGCAAAATTAATGTGTATAAACCCTTTGCTGGGTGACTATGAAAGGAAGATCTTGTTAGCATGATTGATTTTGTTTTAAAATAACAGAAACAAAAGGAAAAAATAAGAATAAAGGAGAAGGAAATATATTGCCTTGTGGAACTAAATATTGAATGAAGTGCTATATTTAGGCATGGATAAATAAGCGATATCACCTAGTCTTTGTTTTTCAATTTTCTAGCTTTGCTTCTTCAGGATATTTTCATTCTGCGAAGAGCTGCTCTCACTGACCAGAAAATAATGCCACAAACAACTTCAGCAACATCCTTACTACGGCCCATGATCCCACTGGAAGTGAAAGCATTGTTTCCTGTTGCTCAAGTAGAAATATCTTAAGGACGGTGGTTTCTGGAGACACTAAGATGATCTTCTTGCAGACTGACAGGCATCTAGATATTTTCCCACCATTCCAATTCTTTCTTCACCTGAGAAGAGAGAGAATCCATTATTTGTCCTATTGCTTTTGATATATGGTTTGAAGTCTCTAGCCATTCTGCTAAAGAAGATAATTTTTATGCACTTAATAAATGGAAGAAAACATCTCCCTCTGTCTCTTTCTATATGTATACACACACACGTGTATAAACACTAAAATTTAGAAAACACCATATTTTAGTGTATGTAATGATGTATACTTCCCGTATTTTGGTGCTTTTCCAGGGAAAAGGAAAGAGAAAACAAAAGGAAATTGGCTTTCAGTGCCTTGAATGTGAATGAAAAGAATAGCAATTGGATTTCACAACCACTAATCGTCTGGTTTGGATAAGAAGGATCCTTTTTGCAGTTATCTGTCAGAGCTTGGCTAGGTAATAATCTTCCCTTTTGTCTGCCCATTTTAAAATGGTAGAGATCTTCACTGGCTGAGATGTCAGGAACAAAAGAAAAATCTCAACAACAGAAGACAGAAAAAACTCTGTAGGCAATACTATTATGTAATATTGTCCCTTAGACAACAATAGATTTTGCTTAAAAATCCTTTTGAGTTATTTGTGTCTTGTTCTGTAGTCTTTAATAACTGCTTCAGAAAAAGAATTACAGACAGTCCTCAACTTATAATGTTTAAATTTAGGGTTTTTTTTTCTGACTTTATAGTGGTATGAAAGCAATATGCATTCAGTAGAAACCATACTTTAAATTTTGAATTTTGGTTATTATTATAATAATAATCTTATTATAAAATAAGCTTTGTGTTCAATAAGTTCGCATAACTGTAGGCTAATGTAAGCATTCTGAGCACATTTAAGGTAAGCTGGGGAAGCTGTAATGTTTGGAAGGCTAGGTGTATTAAATGTGTTTTCAACTGAGGATCTTTTCATCTTATGATGGCTTTATTGGTACCAAATCACATCATAATTCCAGGAGCATGTGTATATATTGATTCCCTTTTCTATCAATACAGCAAATTAGATGTACAGCATTTAAAAATACTGTATAGGATGCTTAAAATATTTTAAAATCATTGATAGTAAGTAAAAGTAAGACAAATAAGAATGCAGAAAGGATGGGTAAATAAAACTGTAGAGAAGTAAAAATTCGAAGCTCACGTTTGCTCTAGGAAATCTGCTGTATCTTACTACGTGAGGAATTTAAAATGAATTTACTTTAAAAATAGCCTCAAAAATTCTGATACAAAATATATACGCAGTGTGTGATTGCAATTAAGAATCACAAACACCTGACCAAAAAGCCCTGATATGAGAGACAGATAAACAACAAATTGCAGAATTAGAACTTATTTGAGTCTGTACTTTGAGAAGAGTAATATACAGCAGATTATTAATTGGGAGTTCTCTAAGTAAAACGTGTAAAAATATCTAGTAAAGTATATATAAAATATCTAGTAAAAGACCAGAAATGAGAGTATAACTTCCAGAGTAGTAAAAGTGAAGTGAACAAACAAAAATAAATCAGTTCAACTGAATATAAGTAAGAGAGGTGGGGAGAAACATAGAAATACAGACAATTAGAAATAAAACATTAGAAGTTGGAGTAAATCAGTAATGAAACAAAATCACTACAGGAACAGGAAGACTCTAAACCTTTGTGCACCTAATAACGTAACTTCAAAACAGATAAATGAAAAACTATCAGAAGTAAAAGGTGAAATACATGAATTCGCTAAACTAGTGGGTTTAACACATCTCTTTAAGAATTAATAGATTAAGCAGATTCCAATATCTGTAGAGTGACATGTACTGTCTAAGTGTCTGTGCTAATGTTATGAACAGTTATCAGCCAGTGTGAGTACCCACAGCTGTCTTAGTTCGTTTTGTGTTTCTGTGATGGAATACCACAAACTGGGTAATTTATAAAACAAACAAACAAACAACAACAGATAGCTGCTTCCTACAGCTCTGGAGGCCGGGAAGCCTAAGGCTGAGGGGCCCACTCCTGGTGAAGGTTTTCTTGCTGCATTATCCTGTGGCAGAAGGAAGAAGGCCAAGGACCGGGAGAGAGCAATCAAGAGCTGAAATTGCTTTTATAACAAACTACTCTCACAACAACAAACCCACTCCTGTGATAATTACATTCATCCATTTATGAGGGAAAAGAAGGAAACAGTCCAGACTCCCTTGTTAACACTGATACTGCTAATTTTTGGACAGTGATACACTACTAGCAAAAAAGCAGTCATATACAAATAAAGCAATACAGAATGATCAAGTTGGCTTTATCCAGGATGAAAAAGTAGCTCCACATCAGGAAGTCTGAAAATATAATTCATTGCACTTAAAAGATTATTTTTTAAAAAACGATCTTTTTAGAAGCAGAAAAGCCCTTCAAAAATTCAACATTAATTTATGATAATAACTTCTGAAGCTACAAGAAGCATTTAGTATGCATTAAGTTCCCTAAACCTCCTTCTTCGAAGAGAGCTTGACTAAAATTCCAAGGAGGCAGACGATGGTTTAACCAACATTTTAAATATCACATAATAAGGTCAGGCACGGTAGCTCACGCCTGTAAACCCAGCACTTTAGGAGGCTGAGGCAGGTGGATCACCTGAGGTCAAGAGTTTCAAACCAGCTTGGCCAACATGGTAAAACGCTGTCTCTACTAAAAATACAAAAATTAGCTGGGTATGGTGGCAGACACCTATAATCCCAGCTACTTAGGAGGCTGAGGCAGGAGAATCACTTGAACTGGGAGCCAGAGGTTGCTGTGAGTCAAGATCATGCCATTGCACTCCAGCCTATGCAACAGAGCAAGACTCCATCTCAAAAAAATAAAATAAAATAAAATAAAAAATAAAAAAGTATCACATAATACAGTTACCTATTTTTACACTAGTCAAAAAATATTTCTTAAAAGGGAATAATTTTCTGGTTGCTCTAGGATAAGAACCTCTATTTTTTCTAGGACAATGGTAGCTTTATACATCTGAATCTGTCCACAGGACAATAAAGAGAGCAAAATAAATCCACAAATTATTACCTGCAACTACAGAAATAAATACAATATTTTATTCGAGCTAACTCTAGAGCTTAAAATAAAAGAATGAGAGCATGGTGGTTGGAGTTTGAGAAAAATGCACAGAAAAGAGGAAGAGAAAAGAGAAAACCCAACATTACTTACGAAATAGTGAAAAGTGGTCTAGAATAGTACAGATCATAGCATAGCTATTGGGGAAATCTGGTAAGTGCGGAGGAAGCTGGAAAGATCTGGATCGGTAGTCTCAGAAAGAGATATTTTTTTCTGAGAGTAAGTAAATGGAAACGGAGAGGCACTGTTGGAGATATGACGGTAAAGAAGAAGGAAAGGTCTGGGCTCGGGGGCTCACACCTGTAATCCCATCGCTTTGGGAGGCCAAGGCGGGCGTATCACCTGAAGTGGGGAGTTTGAGACCAGCCTGACCAACATGGAGAAACCCCATCTGTAGTAAAAATACAAAATTAGCCAGGTGTGGTTGCACATGCCTGTAATCTCTGCTACTCGGGAGGCTGAGGCAGGAGAATCCTTTGAACCCAGGAGGCAGAGGTTGTGGCAAGCCGAGATCATGCCATTGCACTCCAGCCTGGGCAACAAGAGCGAAACTCCATCTCAAAAAGAAGAAGAAGAAGAAGAAGAAGAAGAAGAAGAAGAAGAAGAAGAAGAAGAAGAAGAAGAAGAAGAAGAAGAAGAAGAAGAAGAAGAAGAAGAAGAAGAAGAAGAAGAAGAAGAAGAAGAAGAAGAAGAAGGAGAAGAAGAAGAAGAAGAGGAGGAGGAGGAGGAGGAGGAGGAGGAAGAGGAAGAGGAAGAGGAAGAGGAAGAGGGAAAAAAGTGGGAAATAAGTAGAAAATAAGAATCACACAAGAACAAAAGAGAATACTAACACACACCAAACCCTCCCAACCACCAAAAATGGTCACCCATTAAAGAAACTGCACCTCCCTATACGGATAGAAGTGAGTACTCCTAAAGTAGAAATATTGTAATGACTCCAAACAGTCAAACTGTCCAGAAATTGCAAAGAAAAAAATAGCTACAATTATACAAAGCTACTGTAAGAAAAAAAACAGAAAATGAAAATCACCATTTCCACTCTTGAAGTTTTCTACCCTGCAATTAGTTGAATGGACATCTACTTAGCTGTAATGGAATATATTGAGCTGTAAAAAGACTGAGAACAATCTCTATGAACTTATATGGAAAGATTTCCAGGACATTTTGATGAGTTAAGAAAGTAAAATACATGGAGCATACATAATATTCTACTTTTGTGAAAGAAACAAGGGGCTATAAGAATATAAACATATATGTGCTACTTTTTGTCAAAAGAAACAGAAGGGGACACACCAGAAACTAAGGTGTACTTGTTTTTTTTTTTTTTTGAGATGGAGTCTCGCTCTGTCACCCAGGCTAGAGTGCAGTGGCGCTATCTTGGCTCACTGCAACCTCCGCCTCCCGGGTTCAACGATTCTCCTGCCTCAGTCTCCTGAGTAGCTGGGATTACAGGTACGTGCCACCATGCCCTGCTAATTTTTGTATTTTTAGTAGAGACGGGGTTTCACCATCTTGGCCAGGGTGGTCTTGAACTCCTGACCTCATGATCCATCCTCCTCAGCCTCCCAAAGTGCTGGGATTACAGGCATGAGCCACCGCGCCTGGTCCTATGTGGGGATGGGAGTGGGTTGGTGTGGTGGAAGGAAACAGAATGGAAAGGATGAAGGAAGTGACGCTTCTTTGAATATAACCTTTGTTATTGTCAGAGCTCAGAACAGATACCCAAAGTATGACGCTTTTTTTTTTTTTCAAGGTGAAGAAGATAGATGGGCCTCAGAAAGCAAGGAAGTCTCTCTGAACTTCTCCCACCTATTTCCCAAAGCAAACCATCAAACCTAGGAAGGTTACACTCTGACCTACCTATTCTGAGAGTAGGGTGTAAGACCATCATGTGACAAGTGTCCTGCCCCATTCTTGGAAGAAATGAATACTACACAAAGAAACCAAAAGAATGTGAACAAACAGGCCTTGTTGAGCTCAACCCCCAACTGTCAGCACCACCCCCCAGTTTGTTAAATTAGATCATATCTCCCTTTTTGTCCAATCATATTTCTCTACAATTATCCACTTCTTTCATCAGACATAGCATAAAAATACACAGTGTCTCAGGGTGTTTGGACCTTAATTTACGAAGAATTCCATGTCATGTAAAACTCTGATTAAATAAATGTTATGCTTTTCTCTTGTTAATTTGCCTTTTGGTACAGGAGCATCAGCATGAACCTAATGATGTTATATTGAACATTAAATAGCTCAACACTATTTTTAAATGGTAATCTTATCTAATTATTTAAAATACTGATTTGATGTGGTCAATGTTTATTTTTTGTTAAACATTTAGGTCTTTGAGATGATTGTGTACTTAACGATGACACAGTACTTGAAATCATAATGCATTTATTAAGTATGATGAATAATGTCTGTATCAGTCTCTGATATTTAGTACTAGGATTAAAAATGCTGAGTTTTTTAGCTTTGCTTGTTGCTGATAGACCTAAAAGGCAATTTAAAAATTCATGTGGTGTACTGCAGAAAGAGTCACAAAACTGACATTCAAAATTCATTATACAGAGTCTTTGAGTCACATTTCAAATCTCAGTTGTAATTTAACAGTAGAAGGTTTCATCAAATATTGGGTCCCCACGATATGTGACTAGCATCTCAAGCAAGTATTCTGAAAACTGCCTCCTACACTAAGGACATGACAATCTCACACAAAGAATTGTTTATATACTGACTTCCCATGGCAATGCTTTTGGTTAAAAAAGAAAAAAAAAAGAAAGGAAGAAAAGAATGAAGAAAGAAAAGGAGGAAAGAAAAGAAAAGGAAAAGGATTCATCAAATTCTCTCTATGGCTATCACAGTACATGTAGGACTGAGTACAATAGACTCTAGGGTCACATAAATCAAGGTAAAAATTTGTTAAGTCACTCTTTCTGTAAATAATATTATAGTCAAAAACTGTCAAACTCCTGATTAAAATTTTTAACCCCAAAAAAGGAACATTTAAGTATATTAACAAAAACTAGTGTTTTATTGGATTCAGTGAATTCTAAGTTCGTATGTATTTTCATTCTTGACACTCTGCTCTTTAAAAAGTGTTTTCAAGAATGTATGTCATTTCCGTCTTTCCTCTGTTTTTCTCACATATCATTCCACATGTCCTGGATAGGACACTGGGATGCCTTTGTTATTATTATAGGATTTCACATATGATTGTAGTAAATAATATATTGCCTAGGCTTTTTTTTTTGTAAATACTTAATCACATCAAATATTCTAATGTATGATGTGTTAGATGAGTTCACATGTTTTTGGAAATGAATAAAGCTTTTTCTTTGCATTCAGGAAATAAATACATGATCCAACAGCCCCAATATAGGTAAGTAAAATAATTTTGAAAGATTATTTCTAGTTTTTATTTTATAACTCTATAAGAGTTCCTATAGTTTTTGCTGTTCACATTACGAAATGATTTATTGATCACTCACATTTTTACTATCTTCAGAACACAGAAAATTTCATCATCATTTATTTTCTCAAATTTGGATTTTTGTCTTAAAACTGCATGGAAAATGTGACCAGTGTGACAATAAGTCCCAGTTTGTCTGAGACTATCCAGATGGCCAATGTTGTCTTGGCATGATTACTAATAGCATCCCTTTCACTCTCAAAATGTCCTGGTTTGTGATAATAAATTGTACAGTCATCCTACTCCTGATCTATTCATTCGATTTTAAATTATAAGAATTTTCCAAAGTGATATCTAGATAAATAATTGTCATTCGTGGTTGCACAGGAAATAAGGAGGGTATTGACCTTGGTAATTCCCAAAACTGTCAGGATTGTTATTGCTGCCAAGGTGAAACGTTTAGTGGCAATATTATCCTTAATCATAGGCTTTCTAGAAATAAAGTCAACTTTTGGAAATTCGTTAAACCATCAAAATCATTTGACCATTAAAAGGGCACTTTTAGGCTGGGCGCTGTGGCTCACGCCTGTAATCCCAGCACTTTGGGAGGCCGAGGAGGGCGGATCACCTGAGGTGGGGAGTTGGAGACCAGCCTGACCAATATGGAGAAACCCGTCTCTACTAAAAATACAAAATTAGCCGGGCATAGTGGCGCATGCCTGTAATCAGCTACTTGGGAAGCTGAGGCAGGAGAATCGCTTGAATCCAGGGGGCGGAGGTTGCGGTGAGCTGAGATCATGCCATCGCACTCCAGCCTGGGCAACAAGAGCGAAACTCCGTCTCAGAAAAAAAAAAAAAAAAAAAAAAGGAAAAGAAAAAGGCACTTTTGTGAATGGAAGATAAATTGAACGTTACCATTAGAAGGACATCAACATGCATGCATGCCCGTGACCTTGCCTCTGACAAAGAAAACCTCTTTCATTCCACACCAAACACTAACTAATCCCACAATTTTTAAAGTACAAGTTATCCAACAGTGCTGGGTTTGTTTCTTTATCTCTAAAAGATTTGATCCAGATCAGAGATTTTCTAATGTTGGTCTGCTAGCCACTGCTGATCAGTATGAAGTTTTCATCAGTCTGTTACATCATCTGCAGAAATTAAATCATTTTTTTCTGAAGTTAAATTGGCTGAACATAAGCATTTAATGTTTAAGATTATATACTTATTATATTTTGATGTGGACATTGTATAAGGTAGTTGGCAAAACTTTTAATTTATTTGGCCCCATTAATTGATAAATTTTATTGAGCCTACCTATAGTTCATGTGTGTTAGTATAAAGGAGTGATTATGCGAAAGGCGGATAGGGTGAATTGGTAGATATTTTGCTCCAATAGTTGTGGCTCGCTCCATTTCAATGCATAGGGGCTCAGCTTTCAAGCCTTTATTCTTTGAATGTGTGCATTTGCATTGACTCTACTTACCTCCAGTGAAAACTAAATGCACAAAAGAGAATATCAGAATATTAGATCTAAATGAATAGCCTCCTTAGTATTTCATAGGCCCAGTTACATATTAGGATTTGTGGAAACTAAGTGACTCAAAATTGTAACAGAGGTGAGCAGCTGTTGCTCAAACACCATTTTAGATTAGAGGCTCAGCCTTACAAAGAAGATAATAAATGTATTTTTCTCTTGGGAAAAGCATTTCTTTTTGTGAATGTCCAGGAGTGCTCTTTAAACTCAAAACAAAATTTTGTATGATGTGCTTTCCTTTATCTGGCTGATTGTTCTCGTATGACTGTTGGAATAAACACAACAGCACTATAGGAGGCCATCACACTGGCTTTCTGGAAAAAGATGAGCGGGCCAGAAAAAAAAGTCGAAAAGCTTTGACAGTACTGCAGGAAACCACTTCAATACTCTGGCTGACATAAAAGCCATTGAACGCATGAAAAGACATACTATGAGTTCTATTAATAGTAAATGTAATGTATAAAAACGGGGGAAATGCCCACAGGAAGAGTTTGTATATAAAAATGGTCACTAAATCTACTTTAATTCTTGAAGTTAATTACCAGTTTAGCATTCATTTTGAACAGAGAAAATAATATTAAAAATTGATGGCTGATCATCCTTTTGTCTATGAAAAAGTACAAGGACACAAAGCAAACCTGTAAATACAAATGTACTTGTGAAGTCAAAGTGATTTTACTTACTAAGCTATTAGTTAATCAACATTTACTGGGTACCTGCTCTACAAAGGATGTGGTGAATATTCAAAGGGTTAACTGAGAAGTCTTTGATCCAGGCATTTTTCTTTAGACAACTAACATCTGGTGAAAAACTAAAGAGCAGTAGGGAGAAATATAAGATGTTGTGACAAGGATACATCACCCCGAATATGGCTTTTTGGCATAAGGATGATTTTGAGCTGATTATTTTGAGACCCAACAGAAATAGACACTATGTCTATATATCTATATATATCTATGACATAGACACTATATCTATAGACATAGACATAGAAGCTATGAAAACAAAGTGGAAGTTACCCTTCTGCAAGAGAAATTTACATCTATAAAGAAATTTCCATTTGTAAGGATGTCTCTCTCTCTCTCTCTCTCTCTCTCTGTCTGTCTGTCTCTCTCTCTCTACCAGACACAGAAAAGGAAGACTAAATCACGGGAGATGTAGCCTGCAAGAGAAATTTACATCTATAAAGAAATTTCCATTTGCAAGGATGTCTCTGTCTCTCTCTCTCTCTCTCTCTGTCTGTCTGTCTCTCTCTGTCTATCAGAAACAGAAGGAAGACTAAATCACGGGAGATGTAGCAGGGAATCAGTGGAGAAGGCACCAGTTCAGATTTGCATAACAAACCTTATTGGTGTTTAGGGTACTTTTCCTGGACACCTTTCCATAACTGTCCTCCACTTCCTTCTCTCTTTTGTCTTTGACTGAAGATGGTATTTGAGCCTGAATTCTAAGCCACCTCTGAGAGTCACTCATTTTCCCTGGATATCTCCCATGTATACATGAGGAATATATGCTAATAAAATTCTCTTTATTTTTCTCTTGTGAATCTGTCTTTTTGTTACGGGAGTGCCAGCTGTGAACCCAAAATTATCTGAGGCAGGTCTCAATCAATTTAGAAAGTTTATTTTGCCAAAGGTAAGGCTGTACCTGGGACACAGCCTCAGGAGAACCTGACAACATGTGCCCAAGCTGGTCGGGGCACAGCTTGGCATATTACATTTTAGGGAGACATGAGACCTTAATCAATATGTGTAAGATGTATATTGGTTTGGTCCAGAAAGGAGGGACAACTTGAAGTGGGGACTTCCAGGTCATAGGTGGATAAGAGACAAAAGATCGCATTCTTTCAGGTCTTTGATCAGCCTTTCAGTGAATACACAATTTACATTTGAGAGGCAGGTAGAGGAATCATCGCTTATGCCTTAGTCTGGCTCAGTAAATCTGCATTTTTACATAAGCAATAGGGTGGAGGAAGCACTCAGATACACATTTGTCTCAGGTGAGTACAGGGATGACTGAGTTTTGTTCTTTGTCCTGCAACTGTGAAGATAAGCTATCAATTTACACTGCCAGGGTGAAATTCAACAGAACTGCTTTAGGGTAAAAATCTTGAAGCCCACAAGAAATTTCCTTGTGGACAAATTGTGAGGAAAGTACATAGCTTTTTTTTTTTTTTTTTAATCTTCGTAGCTATCTTACTTAGGAATTAAAAGGGAGGTAGGTTTGCCAAGATTTATTTTCCTTTCACACAGCTGTGAAAGGAACTGTGAAGTATAGAGGGAAAATCATTTTTCTTTCCCTACAGTGTCATATTATTAGAATAAGGTCCATTTTATGGATCCTCGGTGGGGTGAATGTTTTGATTAAATAGTTCATAGAGGGCAGTTACTTATTAGAAAACACTGCTTGAGAGATACGAAATTTGAACTGAGTTACAAGAAAGGGATTTGGATAGAATTTGGACAAATGAAAGACATATAAGGGAGGGGAAAAACTTGAGTGAATTCATGAAACCAAGTGATATGGTTTGGATTTGTGTCCCCGCCCAAATCTCATGTGGAATTGTAATCCCGAATGTTGGAGGAGGGGCCTGGTGGGAGGTGATTGGATCATGGGGGCAGATTTCCCCCTTGCTGTTCTTGTGATAGTGAGTGAGTTCTCACAAGATCTGGTTGTTTAAGAGCGTGTAGCACTTCCCTCTCTGCTCTCTTCTTCCTCCTGCTCCAGCCATGTGAAGACATGCTTGCTTCCCCTCTGCCCTCCACCATGATTGTAAGTTTTAGGAGGCCTCCCCAGCCATGCTTCCTGCACAGCATGGAACAGTGAGCCAACTAAACCTCTTTTCATTACAAATTACTCAGCTTCAGGTATTTCTTTATAGTAGTGTGAGAATGGGCTAATAGACCAGGCATGAGAATAACTGACAATAAGAGATTGTAAGGAATATACTCCAGTTTGCATAATGTTAACTTCTAGATATTATCTTTTTGGTAAGTTTATGAAAGCAAAGAAAAATCAGAAAACAGAATTGTATGATATTAAGAGGAAATGCTCCCAAACTTTCCTATCTATTATTCATTCCTAGTTGGTGGCAAGTGTGGCATTTATTTTTCAGATATTTTCAGGGTTTATATGATCACGTCTATGATGTTTCTGTCAGGCCTCTGAGCTTAAGCCTGCACATATACATCCAGATGGCCTGAGGCAACCGAAAACTACAAAGGAAGTGAAACAGCCAGCTCCTGTCCTAACTGATTGACCAACCTTACGACATTCCACTGTGATGTGTTCCCGCCCTGCCCCAACTGATCGATAGATCAACCTCGTGACATTCTTCTTCTGGACAATGAGTCTTAGGATCTCCCCACCATGCACCTTGTGACCCCCTCCTCTGCTGACAATAGATAACCACCTTTAACTGTAACTTTCCACTGCTTACTCCAGTCCTATAGAACTGCCTCACCCCATCTCCTTTGGCTGACTCTCTTTTCGGACTCAGCCCATTTGCACTCAAGTGAAATAATCAGTCTTGTTGTTCACACAAAGCCTGTCGGTGGTCTCTTCACACAGATGCACTTGACAGTTTCATATGTTTATATGCATATCATTTTATTATATTCTGTTTTTGTAACTCTCTTAAAAATTCTTAATACTATATAAAGGTTACATTTTCTTATATTTGACCTTGTGCCTTTTAACAGCTGCTTAGTATCCTTCTCCATGGATATACCCTAATCGGTCTACCTGTACTCCACTGATAAACACCTAGAGTGTTTCTGAGACTTTGTTGATATAAAAATTTTAGAATGAGTAAACAAAGCACCCATGTGTATGTCCTTAGAGGTAGAATCAATGAATCAAGACAAATTCCATTGTAAAATGTAGTAGATATTGCCAGTTGTTTTTATCTGGATCAATAATGTTAGAAAGGCATGAATGTGTAGTGGGGAAGGAAGAGCCTCCTCTCTGCCCACTGAGGTTCACTGAAATCGTGACAATAGGTCAGTAGGAGAAAAAGGCATAGAAATTTGTTAATCTGCACGTGGACATGAGAGTCACAGAAATATGAGACTCAAAGGCCAAATTATTGAGACTTATATATACCTTCTTCACAGGAGAGAGGGAAGTGGGATGCTATAAGAAATTTTAGAAGGGTAGTAAATGATTTTTTACAGGAAATAAATGAGCTCAAAGAACAATTTCCTTGGATAAAGTTCTTCTGAGCTCTGGGGGTGGTGGTGGAAGGTGAAGAATAGAACTTCACTGTGAACAAAGTTGTCTTATTATACAGATAAAGTCTCCCAGGTAAGGTCTCAGAGTTGCCCCCATAAGAATACATGAAAAGTCTGTCTGCACATGGTGACAACTCCCAGTCACTTCTCTTCTACAGTGGTTAATCTTTCCTGGTTAGTTGGTGAGATCCCTAGGGAGGGAGTCTTAAGAAAATTGCATTTCTTCTGGAAATAAGTTTCTCCAGTCAGATAAAAAAATTCCAGAGAGAATCCTTGCTGGTGCTTTGGGAAAGAAAGAAGATCAGAGAGATTAGGGGGTGGGGGAAGGTCAGAGAGAAACTTTGATTCTGAAGCAGCATCTAAGGCCTTCCAGTTTTAGTTCAAAATGTTCAGTGTGTCAAAGCACCAAATTTTGGGGGTATCATTTTCTGAGCCCTAAATACGTAAAGAATATTACATACAACATACATTCTTGGGCTAAAAGCTAGAGTGAGAACCTGGAAGAAGAGCAGAAAAATCTTTTGAATCTTCTTTAATTGATTCATTATTAATATATGTTATAAATGATAAGGCATGTTATTGTAGGTCAGCTTCAGAATACAAGCTTATAAGAAGTGACAATCTACAATAGTCATGGTGACATCTCTGAAAATGTTTGTTGTACAAGTTCACAAAGCTATCTTTGGTGGAAGAAGTAATGATCAATCCTAATTGTACTGAGGTCGAGTCCCTGGATCAGGCAGTGGTCCTACGGGAGCAGGGATTATCACAGTGAACTGTGCTCACTGATGAATACCTTTTAAAGATGAGATGAAACAGTAGTGCCTCTTCTACACACGCAGTGAGTCCAGCCTCACAACAGAGACAAAACTGAGCAATGTGTTTCCCAGTCCATTATTTTCCCTGTTGTCCTGGCTTAATCCTTATGCCTTTCAGTGTAGTTTTTTTTTTAAAAAAATTATATAACAATTACTTCAGGTTACATTCATAAATAAGATATCTAAAATTGTCCAAATGGAAAATAAGAATATCTGAGAAAATCCACTCATCCTGATTTGAAAGGTAATGTTAGTTTGGATAGTTTCAGGCTAAATAAATTAAATGAATGATAAAAACATAAATAAAATTAGCCGAGCATGGTGGCGGGCTATTTTAAATAAAATAAAATAAAAAGTTATTTTAAATAAAATAAAATAAAAAGTGTGGCCTAGACATGGTGGCTCACGCCTGTAAACCCAGCAATTTGGGAGGCCGAGGCAGGTGGATCACTTGTGGTCAGGAGTTCAAGACCAGCCTGACCGATATGGTGAAGCCCCAACTCTACTAAAAATACAAAAATTAGCTGGGGGTGGTGGTGTGCGCCTGTGGTCCCAACTACTTGGGAGGCTGAGACAGGAGAATTTCTTAAACCCGGAAGGTGGAGGTTGCAGTGAGCTGAGATCGTGCCACCGCACTCCAGCCTGCACAACAGAGCAAGACTCTGTCTCAAAAAAAAAAAAAAAGTGTAAAGAGTTCTGGAGGATAAAGAAGGAGGTATAGAAAAGAAAACAGTATTTTAGGTGGGCAATGCTTTTAACTTTTGATGAAATTCAAGGAAATGTGGCTTATATTAGTAAAAAAAAAAAATGATGTTACAAGAGGGGTGATAAAATAGGAGGTAGGAAGGAGATAGGCAGCAATATAAATAAATCCTAAAATGGAATAAGGAGAAATCTATTATAGTAGAAAAATTAATTATGATTTTTAAATACATCCAGAACAAGAAAGGGCAGAATTGACCCTGTAAAAACTAAATGAGTGGTATGAAGGACAAACATGATAAATTTTCTCTGAACTCAGGGGAAGAGACAAAGATGAAAATTAGTATATTTCTATGTAGAGGGAAGGCAACAGAAATACTAACTACATACCTAATTGGTTAATTGGGTCTTCTTAAGAAACAAATTAAAAAATGGAATATTACAAATATTCAGAGACATAAGCAGTGGATCGAGGACAGGATGTGAGAGAGAATCCTGAATATTGACTTCTATTTGCAGATCTACAAAGTTAAATAGGTGCCAGGTACAATTACAGGGGTGAGAAAAGTGTTAAAAGAAATGAAAAACAAAACAAAACAAAACAAAAACTAGACATATCTTTACCAAAACTTTTACTTCAAGAATAACAAATCTTATGAGATTCTTGGCAGAAATAAAAGTTAAAAAGAAAGAAAAGGGTGCTACAAATGAATAAAATTAGACAATTATCAGGCAGCATCCTAATACTAAGAATGAGAAAAAATACTCAAAGCATGAAATAGCAGGACAAAAACCAAACAGAGTCAAAACCCCAAATACCTTAACCATAGCTGAATAAAGGACAGGAATGGGCAAGTAATTAAAAAATTAGATAAAAAGAAATTCAAACACTTCAGATAAGGTCAATGCTTCAAATATGGGGCCAATTAAAATTAAAGTTTCTCTTTTTCACTACCATGTTGACTATAATTCAGTTTATATTAGTGTCAAGTGTTTTCTAAAGCTCACAAAGCAATCCTGTCATGGACGTTTGTTAGGGTCCCACAGATTAATTCACTCCTCCTTCTAAGGACTATGCCTTGATTTTCCTTTAGGAAATCACCCTTCTCTCACTCTCAGCTGATAAATTTAAAGATAACAGCCCGGGCCCGGCATGGTGGCTCATGCCTGTAATCCCAGCACTTTGGGAGGCCGAGGTGGGTGGATAACTTGATGTGAGGAGTTCAAAACCAGCTTGGCCAACATGATGAAACCCTGTCTCTACTAAAAATACAAAAATTAGCCAGGCGTGATGGCACAACCTGTAGTTCCAGCTACTCGGGAGGCTGAGGTAGGAGAATTGCTCAAACCCAAGCGGTGGAGGTTGCAGTGAGCTGGGCTGGCTCTACTGCACTACAGCCTGGGAGACGGAGCAAGACGCTGTCTCAAAAAAAAGACAAAATAACAGCCCACAAGATGACAGAGGTTGATTCAGAGATAGGCAGAGCCTATGTCAGACCTGTTGAGATTAATTTAAGGATTTCTTTTATAATCTCAAGGAAACTAACCATTCTGCTAGATTTCGTGTTGCCATAATGTAAATCTGAAGCCACTGGGGTGGTTGGAGTCGGGGGTGGTGTTTACCACGAGGAGACTGAGAATTAAGCCAATAACTCAGAATAGGCAACGCTGAGTTGGATTCTGGTGGCATTGTTTCAACTCAGCATAAAGATACATCTAAAGTCAATTCTACCTCTAAAACGTTGAGCTACATGAGCCAATCAATTTTCCAATGAGTTGGTTTGTTTTTCACTGGCAAGAGAAGGGGTCTTAACCAACATGTGTACATGCCCTTAATCTCGAGTTCTAGGAATTTATTCCAAACTCTAAGACTAATAGGTACATGTGTGTGTATGGGAGAGCAGGATGTCACCACAGAGTTAGTTTTACAATAGTAGAATGGGATTTACTAAATTACAATATAACCAGAGTGTTGAATAGGCTCTGGTGTTTTAGAATGATAACAGTATAAGGGATACAGGACTCATGATACTATCACAAGGCATCTTTTTAGATTTTTGTCCATCTATTCCAAAACTGCCAATAGCTGAGGCAACTAGAGTCCTCTAGCCCTGCTCTGTTCAAGCTATACCTGGAGCTTGGGTAGATGATATAGTTTATATATTTGCCCTGCCCTAATCTCATATTGAATTGTAATCCCTAATGCTGAAGGTAGGGCCTGGTGGGAGACGTTTGGATCATGGGGCAGATCTCTCATGGCTTGGTGCTGTATTTGTGATAGTGAGTTCTTGCAAGATCTGCCCATTTAAAAGAGTGTGGCACCTCCTCGCCCTCTGCTCCTGCTTTCATGGTGTGATTTCCCTGCTCCCACTTTGCCTACTGCCATGAGTTAAAACTCCCTGAGACCTCCTGAGAAGCTGAGGCATGTCAGCGTCACAACTGTACAGCCTGCAGAACCGTGAGCCAATTAAATCTCCTTCTTTATAAATTACCCAGTCTCAGGTATTTCTTTATATCAATGCAAGAACAACCCAGTACAGTAGATTAAAGCCCAACACGATGTTTTTCTTAGCCTTTCTTTATCTCTTATGAATATGTTTCTTCAGAGGCCTCTTTGGAGTGCAACACAATTGAGAGCAGGATTTGGGGTTTGAAAGAAGACATTTATTTATTCTATTTTTCTATTCTCAGTAGTAATCTCTCACGAATAGCTTTAATATTTTTGTTTTATTCACTTGTTTTATATTTTTCCCAATGAATATGTTTAACTTTTACAATAAAAATCTTATTAAATAAGGAAAAGTCAGAGAAATGCAATGAAACCAAAGATAATGTATTTGTAAGGAGACTCCCAAAGAGAAAAATCTAACAAGACTCTGAAGAAAGACTGAGATGTACAAATCAGAAGTGTATGTTGCAGGGGGGATGAAGGTTCAAGGATCAGTTATCTTTCAACTAAGTGTATATTCAGAATGAAAACTGGCCAAAGTAGAGGCCAGAGTGTTTTAAGAAGGGGAGAAACAGAGCAGTTTGGAGGTCTGAGTAAAAGATTTGTAACAGCTGGCATTTTAAACTTAAGAATGGAACATTAATAAAGGGAAACAAAGGGTTGCTAGGAGGGCCCAGTAGAAGTTGGATAGTAAGCAGTTTTAAGATATCAAAACCACAAAATGTAACATGCTGGTGAGGATGGAGAGGAAAAAGAACTCATACACTGTTGACAGGAATGTAAATTAGTGCAGCCATTATGGAAAACAGTATGGAGATTTCTCAAAAAACTAAAAGTAGAACTACCATACGATCCGGCAGTCTCACTACTTGGTATTTACCCAAAGATGAGGAAATCAGAATATCAGGTTCACTGCAGCACTATTCACAACAGCAAAGATAGGGAATCAACCTAAGTGTCCATCAATGGATGAATGAATAAAGAAAATGTGGGGTGTTGTGTGTGTGTGTGTGTGTGTGTATATACACACATATGTGTATAATATATATACACATACTACATTTTCTATTATATAATTATATGTTATATATAAATATATATAGTATATAAATATATAGATAGTATATATATATAATTCATTGTGTGTATATACATATACACACACACACACACACACACACACACACACACAATGGAATAGTATTTGGCCTTAAAAGGAATGAAATCCTGTCATTTGCAGCAACATGGATGGAAGTCATTCTGTTAAGTAAGCTGGACACAGAAACAGATGTCACATGTCCTCCATCATATGTGGGAGTTAAAAAATTTGGTCTCATGGAGGTGGAGAGTAGAATGATGGTTACTAGAGGCTGGGAAGGGTGCATTTATGGAACAGGAAGTTGAGGATGAAGAGAGGTAGGTTAATTAGTACAAACATACAGTTAGATAGAAGGAATAAATTCTAACGTTTAATAATACAGTAGGGAGACTATAGCTAAAAACAGTGTATATTTCAAAATAGCTAGAAGAGAGAATTTGAAATGTTAGCAACACAAGTAGTTATAAATGTTTAAGGTGATAAATATCCTAAATATCCTGACTTGATCATTACACATTCTATGCATGCATCAAAATATCACATGTATCCCATAAATATGTACAAATATTAAGTATCAATTTAAAAATAAAAAATAAATAAATCTAGTTCCCTGGGCTGCCTCATATTAATCTTCCCCAACCTGATCATTTAAAAGCACATAACCTCTTAGCTAAACCAACTTTTACTTTTTACAATTAAACAGGGATAAAATTCATAAGTGTGTCAGGAATTCTTTCCCTGCTAAGAAAAACTTTAACCTTGACAGAACATCAAAATTGGTTTCGTGAAGTTGAATTAATGCAGGTCAAGTGGATTTGAGATCTCTCAGTGAAAAGAATAAAATAGCCAAGTGGAAACTATTCTTTTCCTGATTCTTTGAGAGTCCTGAGTCTGCTAAAAAATAAAAAATAAAAATAACATAATTGCAGCTACTAAATAGCAGGTTTAAAGTGGATTATTCTTCATGGTTATCAATATTTATCAATTACAAAACAAAAAGTTACATATTCTGAAAATTTACGGTGTGTTTTTAATGCACTTCACTAAATTGGCAAAGGAAAAATTATTTATTGTCTTAGTTGTTTTTGTCACTTTAAAATTATTATCAGGTCCAGTGACATGGTTTGTGCTGTAATCCCAGCTCTTTGGAAGGCCAAGGCAGGTGGATCACTCAAGGCCAGGAGCTGGAGACCAGCCCAGCCTGGGCAACATGATGAAAGCTTGTCTCTACAAAAAAATAGAAAAATTAGCCAGGTGTGGTGGTGCATGCCTGTAGTCCGAGCTACTCTGGAGGCTGAGGTGGGAGATGGCTTGAGCCCCAGAGATGGAGGTGGCAGAGCCAACCTGGGCAACAGAGCCAGACCCTGTCTCAAAAACAAACAAACAAAATACTAAAAAAAAAATTTGTTTGAAGGTCTTTGCATAAAGGCTATGGTGTTACAGTTTTTCTGCCTTTTAGCGAATTGCAGCAAAGCCTTGTTGGCATAGGAAACAGCAATATCATAAAAAATGAGCTGACAAAGTGACTATAGGCTAACCAACATTTTGTTTGCATTCTTGTAGCAGTTTTTTCCCTCAGCTAATTCATTATTATGTAATGGAAGAACATGGAAAAATAAAATAAGAATTATTTAAGCTCAAAGATGTGAACATTTTTTTAGACAAGTTTATTGCTAGTTTCAGACAAAGAGAATGAGCCCTTAAAATGAAATTGTATTAAGATTTCATAAATTTAGGGGATCAAATCTCATGAGAAAAATGGTAGTTTTTAGGATTAGTTTAAGCAAAAAAAAAATTGATTTACTATAAGTATAAGATGGTACCTGTGACCATGAGACTTTGAGTTCCATCGGCAAGTCTGTGAACAATTAGTCTAATATATTTGTTTTTCCTATGACTTTTTTAGTTTTTTTTTTAATTGAGATAAAATTTACTTATTTAGCCACTTTTAAAGTGAACAATTCTGTGATATTTAGTATATTTAGAATGTTGCGTGAACACCATCTCTTTACACTTCCGAAAGATTTTCATCATCCGAAAGGGATCTGTTAAAAGAAAAACCTTGGACAAATTAAATTTAAAAGATTTTAATTGAGCAAAGAATAATTAGCAAATCAGCCAGCCTCCCTGAACCAGAATAGATACAGAGAGTCTTCAGCACTGCCTCATGGTCAAAGAAGATTTATGGGTAGAAAAAGAAAAGCGACTTTTAGAAATTGGAAGTGAGGTAGAGAAAGAACCAATTGGTTAAATTTGGCATTTGCCTCATTTGAACATGGTTTGAATCATTGGCCACCTGTGAGTGGCTGAAACTCCATGATTGTCAGAGTGGGGTACAGTCTGTTTACATATCCTGTTTGGTTAGAGTTCAGTATGTATGAAGAAGCCTGTAGGCTGAACTTAAAATATGTAAGGAAGCAGCTTTAGTGTAAACTGAATGTAACAGTTCCCATACCCTTTAAGCAGTTACTCCCCATTCCCCTATCCTAGAATGCTCTCACCCCACCACTAAAATCTACATTCTTTCTCTTGTTTTTTTTTTTTTTTTTTTTTTGACAGAGTTTTACTCTGTGGCCCAGGCTGGAGGGCAGTGGCACCATCTTGGCTCACTGCAACCTCTGCCTCCTGGGCTCAAGAAGTCTCAGCCTCCCGAGTAGCTGGGATTACATGTGCACACGACCATGTCCAGCTAATTCTTGTATTTTTAATGGAGATGGGACTTCACCATGTTGACCAGGCTGATCTCGAATTCCTGATCTCAAGTGCTGGGATTACAGGCATGAGACACCGTGCCTGGCCTACATTCTTTTTATGAATTTTTCTTCCTAGATATATTTTGCATAAATTGAATCATACAATATGTAACGTTTTGTGTCTGGCTTCTTTTACTTAGCATAAGGTAAGTTTCATCCACATTGTAGCATGATTTGTACTTCATTCCTTTCTATGACTGAATGGTATTGTGTTGTTTGCATAAACTGCAAGTTGTTTATCCATAATCCATTGATTAGCGTTTGGGTGTGTCTTGGTCTATTCATGCTGATATAACAAAATACCTTAAACTAGATATATATAAATGACAGAAATTTATTGCTCACAATTGTGGAGGCTGGGAAGTCCAGGATCAAGGCTCTAGAAAATTTCATGCCCTAGAATTTGCTAGAGCCTTGATCCTGGCTCTAGGGAGGGCTGTTGTCTCTTTGCTTCCATGATGGCACCTTATTGCTATGTGCTCACATGGCAGAAAGCAGGGGGTAAAAAGGGATGGATGCTGTGTAAAGCCTTACATTTATTATTGAATCAGCAGTCTACAGCCAAACTGAGAAATTGCTGTATAAAGCTTTGGTTAAGAGTTTGTAGATTTGTTTTCTTTTGCTTTCAATTTATATTTTTCTATGACAAAGATTTCTAATTGACAACCCATAATTAATACAGGGCCTACATAAATATTTTGTTTGATACCAACTGTCATGAGGTAACAGCCACCCCATTTTGCATTTTGCCTCATAAGGCTTACATTTACTTATTCACCACAAACCTAAACACTCAATATTTCTTACATCAATTTTTGTGAGGCTTTTCTAAGCATTGCAACTGAAAAATTCTAACACATTAACTCTGTTTTTCTGTATTTCCAGCATGTCTCTATTTTTTTTTATATGGAGTCTCACTGTGTTGTCCAAGCTGGAGTGCAGTGGTGCGATCTCCGCTCACTGCAACCTCTGCCTCCAGGTTCAAGCAATTCTGTGCCTCAACCTCCAGAGTAGCTGGGATTACAGGCATCCGCCACCATGCCTGGATAATTTTTGTATTTTTAGTAGAGATGGGGTTTCACCATCTTGGCCAGGCTAGTCTTGAAGTACTGACCTCAGGTGACCTGCCCACCTCGGCCTCCCAAAGTGCTGGGATTACAGGCATGAGCCACAGTGCCCGGCCACATGTCTCTATTTTTATACACAAGACTTTTATACTTGTAATTATAGGATAACCACAGTTTTGTATGTTTTTCCACTTAATATTGATTAAAAATATATTAAAAATTTTATGTCTATATCATAATCCACCAAAACACTTTGTCATTCCCGTTATCAATTTTTTCTTATAAAAATGAAAGTTTCTATTTCTTTCTTTCTTTCTTTCTTTTTTTGAGATGGAGTCTCACTCTGTCGCCCAGGCTGGAGTGCAGTGGTGCGATCTCGGCTCACTGCAGCCTCCAGCTCCCGGATTCTAGGGATCCTCCTGCCTCAGTCTCCTAAGTAGCTGGGATTACAAGCATGCAACATCACGCCTGGCTAATTTTTGTATTTTTAGTAGAGACGGGGTTTCACCATGTTGGCCAGGCTGGTCTCAAATTCCTGACCTCAGATGATCCACCCATCTCAGCCTCCCAAAATGCTGGGATTACAGGCGTGAGCCACGGTGCCCTTGCCTTCTTTCCTGTGATGATGATGATGATGATGATGATGATAGAATTTATTATTTTAGAGCAGCATTATATTCACCCCAAAATTGTTAGGAAATTACAGAGGTTTCCCATATGCCTTCTGCCCTTACATCCATAGCCTCCTCCATTATCAACATCCTCTACCAGAGTGGTACATCTGTTACAATTCATAAACCTATATTAACACATCATAATGACTACATACCCAAAGCGCATCTTTTCCATCAGGGTTCCCTTTGGGTGTTGCACAGTGTTTTCACTGCCCTGAGAAACTTCTGTGCCCCACCTGTTAATCCTTTGGCCACATCAACCGCTGGCAACCACTGGTCATTTAACTGTCTTTATAATTTTGTCTTTTCCATAATGCCATAAACCGCTGATTCTTGAACAGCACAAGTTTGAACCATATGGGTCCACTTATGTGCAGATTGTCTTCTACCTCTGCACTCCTGAGACAGCAAGACTGAGTCCTCCTCTTCCTCTTCCTCCTCAGCCTACTCAATGTGAAGACAACAAAGTTAAAGAACTTTATGATGATCCACTTCCATTTAATGAATATTAAATATATTTCCTTATAATTTTCTTAATAATATTTTATTTTCTCCAGCTTACTTTATTGTAAGAATACAGTACATAGCATATATAACATACAAAATATATAACCTACTATTTATGCTATTGGTAAGACATCTGGTCAACAGTAGGCCTTTACTACTTAAGTTTTTGAGGAGTGAAAAACTATATGCAGATTTTCAACTTGAAGAGAGGTTGGTGCCTTTAATCCCATGTTGCTCAAAAGTCACCTGTCGTTGAACTTGTACAGTACATAGCCTTTTAATATTGGCTTCCTTCACTTAGTCATATGTATTTAAATTTTCTCCATGTCTTTTCAAGACTTGATGGTTAATTTCCTTTTAGCACTGAATAATACTGCATTGCCTGGATGCACCACAGTTTATTTATACATTCACCTACTGAAGGACACCTTGATTGCTTCAAAGTTTTTGGCAATTATGAATGAAGCTGCAGTAAACATCCATGTGTAGGTTGTTTTGTGGACATAAGTTTTAAACTCTTTCAGGTCAGATACCAAGGAACACAATTGCTAGATCATATGGCAGAGTATGTTTAGTTTTGTAACAAATTTCCAAACTGTCTTTCTAAAGTGGCTGTACTACTTTGCATTCCCACCAGCAACGGAAGAGAGTTCCTGTTGCTTCACAAACTTCCCAGAATAGATATTGTCGGGGTGCTAGAATTTGGTCATTCTAATAAATATGTAATGTTAGGTCGTTGATGTTTTAATCTGCATTTATCTCATGATACAGAATGCAGAGAATCTTCACTTTTTTTTTTTTTTAAATACAATCTCACTTTATCACCCAGGCTGGAGTGCAGTGGTGCGATTCTCCTGCCTCAGTCTCTCAAGTAGCTGGGATTATAGGTGCCCGCCACCACACCCGGCTAATTTTTGTATTTTTAGTAGAGATGCGGTTTCACCATTTTGGCCAGGCTGGTCTCGAACTCCTGACATCAAGTGATCCTCCCATCTTAGCCTCCCAAAGTGCTGAGGTTACAGGCATGAGCCACCACGCTTTTTATATACTTATTTGCCATCTATAGAACTTCTTTGGTGAGGTGTCTGTTAATGTCATGGGCTCGTTTTTTAATTGGGTTTTTTTTTTTATTGTTGACTTTAGCAAGTTCAATTTCTTTTTGATAAGTCCATTATCAGATATGTCTTTTGCAAACATTTTCTCCCAGTCTGCGGCTTATGTCTTCATTCTCTTGACATTGTCTTTTGCTGAGCAGAAGTTTTTAATTTTAATGAAATCCAATTTATTGAGTATTTTTTCCACAGATGGTGCCTTTAATGTTTTATCCAAAAAAGCAATCCCTGTACACAAAGTTACCAAGGTTTTCTCATGAAATCTTGTAGGGATTTTATAGTTTTGCATTTTGCATTTGTGTCTATAATCTATTTTGAGTTAATTTTTGTGAAGGATGTAACATCTGTCTCTATATTCATTTGCCTACATGTGAATCTCCAGTTTTTCCAGTACCATCTGTTGAAAAAAACATCTTTGATCCATTGTGTTGTCTTTATTCTTTTGTCAAAGACCAGTTGACTATGTTTTTGTGGGTCTGTTACTTGGCTCTCTATTCTATTTCATTGATCTCTTTCTCTATTCTTTTGTCAATATTGCACTGTCTTAATTACTGTCACTTTAGAGTAAGTCTTGAGGTTGGATAGTGTCAGTCCTCCATATGTTTCTCTTTCAATATTGTGTTGGCTATTCTGAATAGAATCAGTTTGTCAATATTAAAAAAACTTTCTGGGATCTTGATTAGGATTGCATTGAATCTATAGATCAAGTTGGGCAGAACTGATGTTTTGACATTATTGAGTCTTCCTCTCAATGAAAAAGAAATATCTCTCCATTTTTTTAATGCTTCTTTGTTATCTTTCATTAGAATTTTGTAGTTTTCCTTATATAGATCTTGTACATATTTTATAAGATTTATACCTAAAAGTATTTCATTTGGGGGAATGCTAATGTAAATGGAATTGTATTTTTAATTTTAAATTCCATTTGTTCATTACTAAGATATAGGAAAATGATTGACTTTATTCTTGCCATAATTGTTTATTCGTTCCAGGAGCTTGTTGTTGTTGATTCTTTTGGATTTGTGCAGAAATGATCATGCCATCTGCAAAGACAATTTTAATACTGCTTTCCAAATCTGTACACTCTTCATTTCCTGTTTTTTTTTTTTTTTTTTTTTTGAGATGGAGTCTTGCTCTGTCATCCAGGCTGGAGTGCAGCGGTGCGATCACTGCTTACTGCAACCTCTGCCTCTTAGGTTGAAGCAATTCTGCTGCCTCAGCCTCCCAAGTAGCTGGGACTACAGGCGTGCACCACCATGCCTGGCTAATTTTTGTATTTTTAGTAAAGATGGAGTTTCACCATATTGGTCAGGCTGGTCTTGAACTCCTGACCTCGTGATCTGCCCTTCTCAGCCTCCCAAAGTGCTGGGATTACAGGTGTGAGCTACCGCACCTGGCCCCTGTTTTTTTTTAATTGTATAAGTTAGAACACACACTATGATGTTGAAAAGGAGAGATGAGAGGAGACATCCTACCTTGCTCTTGATTTTAGTTGAAAAGCTTCTAGTTATCACCATTAGTTGTAGTGTTAGTTGTAGGTTTTTTGTAGATGTTCTTTATCAGTTGAGAAAGTTCCTCTCTATTTCTAGTTTGTTGAGAGTTTTCATCATAAATGGGTGTTGAATTTTTGTCACATGATTTTCTGCGTCTATTGATATGATCATGTGATTTTTTAAATCCTGCTGATGGGATGGATTATATGAATTTATTTTAAAATATTGAACAAGTCATCCTGCACAGGTGGAATATATCCCACTTTGTTGAGGTATACTTACATGCATATATATATGTCTTGATTATACAGCAATGTATGACTATGTATATATTTATACATTTATATATTTATAAATTATATATTTATGTATGTGTACATATTTACTTATCTGTAAATATGTATACATTTTTACTTATCTGTAAATATGTATACATTTTTATGCATACATAAAAATGTAGTGCTTTTATGCATACATAAATATGTATACATAAAAAATTTATGCAATATATATATACTTCATAGTATATATACTTTATATTATATATAATACTACATACTGTACCATAAATGGTATATAGCATATATACACTATAAAGCATGTATTTACTATAGTATATATACTATTTATATGGTATATATAAATATATAGTATATATTATACATATACACTTTATAGTATATATATATCATAGTGTATATACTATTTATATAGTGTATATAAGTGTATATACTATTTAATTATATATACTATATAAGTATACATTCTTACATATGTATATGTAATATATATATTTATACATTGTTGGGTTTGATTTGCTAATATTTTGTTGAATATATTTGCATCTATGTTCATGAGAGATATTGGTCTATAGTTTTCTTTTTTTGTAAAGACTTTGATTCTGGTATTTGGGTAAAGCTGACCTCAACACAGGTTAGGAAATATTTACTTCTATCTTCTGAGAAGTGATTATAGAGAAGGTGATTACAGAGAAAGAGATTATATAGAATCGGTATAATTTCTTCCTTAATGTTGTTAGAGTTTACCAGTGAAATCTGGGCCTTATGCTTTCTGTTTTGGGTGGTTATTAATTTTTTATTCAATTTGTTTTGTAGACACAGGCCTATTCAAATTATTTATTTCTTCTTGTGTGAGTTTTAGCAGATTGTGCCTTTTAAGGAATTGGTTAATTTTATCAAATGTTTCTTTTTTCCTGTCTTCCTTCCTTCCTCTCTCATTTCTTTCTTTCTTCTTGTTTCCAGTTGAAACTTCACTGGAAACATAATAAAACAAAACAAAACAAACAAACTCAAAAACACAGACTTCTCAGTTAGAAAACCTGCCATCTCATATATAATACAGCATCCCTATATATGAGTCTTAAACACACTGTGTTGAGAATAGTCTTGTTCTGAACACAAAACGAAACAAATAAAACACCCAAAAGAAGCCTTTATGCAAACAAGATGCAAATATTGTTAAGTGTCAAAACTTCCCAAGGGTATAAAACAGAAATGCTGACTATATTGGCAGTGCTCTTCTTCAGGTATGGATTGAGACTGTCTTGTAGGTATAAATCAGTGCTTACTGATTCAGAGAAATCTGTGGTTTGGTGTGAGCCATTACTGACAATATGTCAGAAATGTGCTAGAAACAAGTCCCTGTATTTTTTTCTGCAAGTAATTTTGTGAAATTCTTGTGAGTAGTGTTGCTCCTGGTCTCACATGACAGTTGGGAAAGTAATGAAAAAAAATTATTGTCTCCAGTGTGGTATGACACCTAACACTATTCATGTCATTTCAGGCATTGCGGCAGCTCTGGGAGATGATTTGGAAACACTCTTTGGATGAATGTTCTCCAGGAGGTCTTAGCCACAGATATAATAGTAGGGCAGTAGAGGAGGTGAAGGTTATAGAAGGGGATTATTCTAAGATGAGACTCTCCTAATTTACTTGTAGACACTGAGAAATATCCAAGTCAAATATTTGGATGCTCCAATTTCTTTTATTTTGGAGTATTAAAAAAATCATACTTTATTTTATACTTGCACTCTACTAAAGTTGTGCCTGTCAGTTAAAGAACATTATAAATTCTTATGGAGTCATAAAAGGATAGTAGAATACAAAAAGTCTAGAACCCTTAATTTTAAATGAGAATGCAAATTATGGTAAAGCTCTCTATTATCTTTGCTTCATTTTCTTGATGTATCCCGTGCTAATCATAATCACCATGGGTTTTTCCCTACCCCCAAAAATTGAAAGATGGAAAATAATTTCTGCTAATTGTCTCTCTCTTCCCGGTTACATTCTCGACACACCAGAGAAAAATAATGTTAATCATGTCTCGTGTATAATTCAGGAAGTTTATAAGTAAAATCCTAAATGTTGTCTGATTTTCTTAAGCAAATGATATCGTGTTATTTATGCTTATATATATATATCTTGTCACTCAATATCATGACTATCTTTCTACAGCAGAATGGTTTAATCTAGTGGCTTCTAGAAGTGGCCCATCTGGCCTACCTATAAGACCATCTGGGAGAAAGGGAAGTGTCGCCATACACTGATCAGCCTGACACCAGCACTGAATTATTTGTTCATTTCTGCAGAACCTGCGGAGCTACTAGAAAAGGTTAGAAGAGTGACATCAACTCCAAACCATCCATGACTCCAAAGAAATTAACTTGTCTCATCAAGATATTAAAGGGGATCCAGGAGATCATGGGAGATGGGAGGCAGGAAGAGATTACAGCTCCGACTTGGACAGACAGAGGAGCGTGTGGAAGCTCGCATCATGAATTTTTGCTTCAGAATGACTGCAGGAATAAATCAGGAAACGCAAGAGGACTCACAGACCCTCCGAAGGAAGTAGATTGCTCTTGCAGGATGCAGGAGACACCCCAAATACTGTGAGTGCCTAAATTGTAGAAGTGGGAAATGGAGATCCTCTACTCCGGAACACACACCCCAATGGGGAGACTGAAGTTCTAGATTATGGGAGAAGATTCTGACCTTACCTGGAGCTGAGTCAATTTAGAGAGCTGAACCAAATACACAGGTAGAGAAAACAGTGGAAAAAACCCTGTGAGCTCACTGGGTTCCCTAGCAAGCTGTCTCTGCCTGGCCTCACAGTGATCCTTCACGCAGATGACCAGAGGCACTGGGAATTGGCCACCAAGAGAAGAAAATCTCCAGCTGAACTTTGTAACAATTTCAAATGATAGAGAAGTCTCCTGGCCAGAACCTGGGGGAGGAAATGAATCCGATGTGCCGACTCCACAGGCGGGAAGAAGGAAAGCCATACTTGCTTTCACAGCTGGGAGGCAGCAAGTTCTCAGCCTTACTCGCCCACTGCCTAGAAACAGACTTGGTGCTGTTGAAGGGGACATGGTGGGAGTGAGACCAGCCCTTTGGTTTGCATGGGAGCTGGGCGAGGCCTGTGACTGCTGGCTTTCCCCCACTTCCCTGACATCTTGCATGACACAGCAGAGACAGCCATAATCCTCCTAAGAACATAACTCCATTGACCTGGGAATCTCACCCCCATCCCCTACAGCAGCCATAGCAAGACATGCCCAAAGAGAATCTGAGCTCAGGCACGCCCAACTCTGCCCCCACCCAATGTTCTTTTCCTACCCACCCTGGTAACTGAAGATAAAGGCATATACTCTAGGGGGTTCGAGGGCCCTGCCCACCGCCTGTTCCTCTCCATACTACCACAGCTGCTGCTCTCTGGAAAGTGTCACCTCCTGGCAGGAGGCCAAGCAGCACAAAAATAGTGCATTAAACCAATACCCTCACAGAGTCTGTTTCACCCCATGCCACCTCCACCGGAACAGGTGCTGGTATCCGTGGCTGAAGAGACCCACAAACAGTGCACATCACAGGACTCTATGCAGGCAACCCCTGGTAACAGCCTGGAACCTGGTAGACTTGCTGGGTGACTGGATCCAGAAGAGAGATAACAATCACTACAGGTCAGCTCTCAGGAAGCCACATCCATAGGAAAAGGGGGTGAGTACTACATCAAGGGAACACCCCATGGGACAAAGCTCTGTCCCTCTGACAGAGCCAACCCAAATGAGAAGAAACCAGAAAACCAACTCTGGTGATATGACAAAACAAGGTTCTATAGTACCCCACAAAAATCACACTAACTCACCAGAAATGGATCCAAACCAGGAAATCCCTGATTTACCTGAAAAAGAACTCAGAAGGTTAGTTCTTATCTAATCAGGGAGGCACCAGTGAAAGGCAAAGCCCAGTGTAAAGAAATCCAAAAAATAATACAAGAAGTGAAGGGAGAAATATTCAATGAAATAGATAGCATAAATAAAAAACAAGCAAAACTTCAGGAAACAATAGAGACACTTATAGAAATGCAAAATGCTCTGGAAAGACCCAGCAATAAAATTGAAAAAAATAGAAGAAAGAAATTCAGAGCTTGAAGAAAAGTTCTTCAAATTAATCCAATCCAACAAAGACAAAGAAAGAAGAATAGGGAAATTTGAACAAAGTCTCAAAGAAGCCTGGGCTTTTTAAATGACCAAACCTAAGAATAACAGGGGTTCCTGAGGAAGAAGAGCAATCTAAAAGTTTGGAAAAACATATTTGGGGGAATAATTGAGGAAAACTATCCTGGCCTTGGTAGAGACCTAGAAATCCAAATACAAGAAGCACAAAGAATACCTAGGAAATTCTTCGCAAAAAGATCATTGCCTAGGCACATTGTCTTCAGGTTATCTAAAGGTAATACAAAGGAAAGAATCTTAAGAGCTGTGAGACACAAGCACCAGGTAAGCTATGAAGGAAAACCCATCAGATTAACAGCAGAGTTCTCAGAAGAAAACCCACAAGTTAGAAGGGATTGGGGCCCCATCTTCAGCCTCCTCAAACGAAACAATTATCAGCCAAGAATTTTGCATCTGGCGAAAATAAACTTCGCATATGAAGGAAAGATACAATCTTTTTCAGACAAACAAAGGCTGAGAGAATTCTCCACTACCAAGCCACCACTACAAGAACTGCTAAAAGGGGCTTTAAAACTCGAAACAAATCCTGGAAGCACATCAAAACAGAACATCTATAAAGCATAAATCTCATAGAACCTGTATAACAAAAATACTATTTAAAAAACAAAAACAAAAAACAAAAAAACAAGGTATAGAAGCAACAAACAGCATGGTGAATGGAAAGGTACCTCACATCTCAATACTAGCATTTAATGTAAATGGCCTAAATGCTCCACTTAAAAGATACAGAATTGCAGAATGGATAAGAATTCACCCATCAACTATCTGCTGCCTTTAAGGGACTCACCTAACAGAAGGAGTCACAGAAACTTAAGGTAAAGGGGTGGAAGAAGACATTTCAGGCAAATGGACACCAAAAGCGAGCAGGAGTATATTCTTATCTCAGACAAAACAAACTTTAAAGCAACAACAATTAAAAAAGACAAAGAGGGACATTATATAATAATAAAAGTCCTTGTCCAACAGTAAAAATATCACAATTCTAAACATAAATTCACCTAACACTAGAGCTCCCAAATTTATAAAACAATTACCAATAGACCTAAGATATGACATAGACAGCAACACAATAATAGTGGGAGACTTCAATACTCCACTGACAACACTAGACAGGTCGTCGAGATAGAAAGTCAACAAAAAAACTGTGGATTTAAACTATACCCTGGAACAAATGGACTTAAAAGGTATGTACAGAACATTCCATCCAATAACCTCAGAATACACATTCTATTCAACAACACATGGAATTTTCTCCAAGATAGACCACATGATAGGACACAAAACGAGCATAAATAAATTTAAGAAAATTGAAATTATACCAAGCACTCCCTCAGACTACAGTGAAATAAAACTGGAAATCAACTGCAAAAAGAAGATTCAAATCCATGGAAATACATGCTATATATGTAATGAAAATATATGCTATATATATAGTATCATATTTTTATATATAAATATATTTATACACACACACAATAGAATACTACTCAGCCATAAAAAGAAATGAATGAATGGCATTCACAGCAACCTGGATGTGATGGGAGACTCTTATTCTAAGTGAAGTAACTCAGGAATGGAAAACCAAACAATCGTATGTTCTCACCCATAAGTGGGAGCTAAGCTATGAGGATGCAAAAAGGCATAAGAATGACACAATGGACTGTGGGGACTCAGGGGGAAAGGGTAGGAAGGGGGTGAGGGATAAAAGACGGCAAATAGGTGCAGTGTATACTGCTCAGGTGGTGGATGTCCCAGTATCACACAAATCACAACTAAAGAACTTATTTATGCAAACAAACACCACCTGTTCCCCAATAACCTATGGAAATAAAAATATATTGAAAAAAAGAATACTTTAATCTATTTCATTCTTTTTAGAGGCTGCATTGCTCATTTGGATGTATGAATTATACTTTATTTATTCAGTACTTATTAATTGAAATTTAGGTTATGACTTGAAAATAATTTTTTTTTTTTTTTTGTGAGATGGAGTCTTGCTCTTTCGCCCAGGCTGCAGTGCAGTGGCATGATATCAGCTCACTACTGCAACGTCTGCCTCCCGGGTTCAAGCCATTCTCCTGCCTCAGCCTCCTGAGTAGCTGGGACTACAGGCGTGTGCCACCATGCCCAGCTAACTTTTTGTATTTTTAGTAGAGACGGGGTTTCACCGTGTTAGCCAGGATGGTCTTGATCTCCTGACCTTGTGATCCACGAGCCTCAGCCTCCCAAAGTGTTGGGATTACAGGCGTGAGCCACTGCGCCTGGCGGAAAATAATTTTAAAAAATTATGTTGGCTCATAACATAACAGCAAAGCATAATCATAGAAATAAAAAGGAAAATGTATGTCCAATAATTTAGGGTTAATGAATTGATCAAATCTGGGGAAGAATAAGAAATTTCCCATATTGAAGTGATAGCTCAGTCATAAACACAAAGATTGAAATATTCAAATCTTAAGTAAATCAGTATTTTATTAAAAAACTAAATGTTATATCAAATATTTAAGTAAATGAATTAATCCTAGACTATTTAAGTGACTCAATGACATTTACAAGACATTCAAGTTCCCAAAAGATAAGTTGACAAAGTGCATTTCTGAAAATAAAAAAAAAATACTTATGGCAAATACACACTAACTTTAATAACAATGATAAATACAAATTGAATTATGGCAGACCAACATCAAGAACAATATGAAGCCAAGAAATAGGATTAACATAATACTCAAACAATGAAATACTTATTATAATATGAAGAAACTGAGTACAAAATAGCAACCACATAACCATAAAATAATTATATCTATGTATGCTTTGTCTGGGAGATCAAACAAATGTAAAAATAAAAAGTTGTCTTAGGATTTTTGTTTTTGTTTTTGAGTGGCGAGATCTCGGCTCACTACAACCTCCGCCTCCTGGGTTCAAGTGATTCTCCCGCCTCAGCCTCCCAAGTAGCTGGGATTACAGGCACCCGCCATCATGCCTGTCAAATTTTTGTATTTTTGTAGAGAGGGGGTTTCACCATGTTGGTCAGGCTGGTCTTGAACTCCTGACCTAAAAGAAGTATGTAGAAATAGAAATCCTGGTGTACAGATGATGCCCTCTCACTGTGTCCTCACACAGTGGAAGGGGTAAATTCCCTCAGGCCTCTTTTATAAAGACACTAATTCCATTTACGAGGGCTCTGCCTTCATCAGTTAATCACTTCCTGAAGACCTTAACTTTTAATACCATCACATTGGAGATAGATTTAAATATATTAATATCTTGGTGGGACAGATTATTAATAGAAATTGGAGAAAACTATTAGACTATTAATAGAAATTGAAAAAAATCAAAACAGAAGACAATAAGTGTTATACAGCATATTGGTTTGCTAAGGCTGCCATAACAAAACACCACAGGCTGAGTGGCTTAACAACAGAAACTTATTTTCTCACAGTTCTGTAGGCTAGACATCCAAGACCAAAGTGTTGGCAGGTTTGCTTTCTCCACAGCCCTCTCTTCATGACTTGCCATCTCCTTGTATCCTCATCTATCCTTTCCTCTGTGTGCACACATCCCTGGTTTGCATAACATTGGAAATTCATTCTGTTTTGTTTTGTTTTGTTTTGTTTTCTGATAATCCTGGTCTTTTGTTGTTGTTGTTGTTAATATACTTTAAGTCCTGGGATACATGTGCAGAACATGCAGGTTTGTTACAGAAGTATACACGTGCCATGGTTGTTTGCTGCAACCATCAACCTGTCATCTACATTAGGTATTTCTCCTAATGCTAGCCCTCCCCTAGCCCCCCACCCCCCGACAGGCCCCCGTGTGTGATGTTTCCCTCCCTGTGTCCATGTGTTCTCATTGCTCAACTCCCACTTATGAGTGAGAACATGCTGTGTTTGGTTTTGTTCTTGTGTTAGTTTGCTGAGAATGATGGTTTCCAGCTTCACCCATGTCCCTGCAAAGGACATGAATTCATCCTTTTTTATGGCTGCATAGTACTCCATGATGTACATGTGCCACATTTTCTTTATCTAGTCTATCATTGATGAACATTTGGGTTGGTTCCAAGTCTTTGTTATTGTGAACAGTGCTGCAGTAAACATGCATGTGCGTGTGTCTTTATAGTAGAATGATTTATAATCCTTTGGGTATATACCCAGTAATGGAATTGCTGGGTCAAATGATATTTCTGGTTTTAGATCCTTGAGGAATCGCCACACTGTCTTCCACAGTGGTTGAACTGGAAATTCCTTTTCTTATGAAAACACCAGTTATATTAGATTACAGCCTCATTTAACCTTAACTACCTCTTTAAAACCCTCATTTCCAACTACAGTCACTTTGGAAGTTAGGGATTCAAAGCAAGAATTTGAGATGGGGAGGCAATTCCATCCATAACATACAGCATCTTTAAATGTTTGTATTTGATAAATTATGATTTTCAATATGCATATTTCATAAACATGAAATAAATGTATTATCTATATATAGTATATTATTTATTTTTAAAATAAAATATTTATTATAACTTCCTTTGAGCATAACGTCGTGTTAATATTTAAGAATCTTTGTGAATAAAAGTCCTATCCCAAATAAACATATTGATTCTTCTCCCTCCCCTGTGACATCCTGAATGAGTGGTATTCAGCGTCTTGAGTTGCTGCTAAAGAGAACAGATGATGCACCCAGGAAGTGTAGAGGCATTTGCTTCCTTGAGTGAAACTTGGACAACACAGGAAACAGATGATGGGAACGAGTTGAGCAGGTAAGTTCTCCCTCTGTTTTCTCTTCAGTGGACTAGACTTAAATATGCTTCCTCTTTGAATTTTTTTCCAGAGGTTTCAGTTGTTGAAGGAACTTAGCTTCTGTATTAGTCAGGGTTCTCTAGACGGACAGGATCACTAGGTGAAGTCCTAAACTAGGCCATCTGTAAGCTGAGGAGAAAGGAAGCCAGTCTGAGTCCCAAAACCTCAGAAGCAGGGAGGCCGAAGTGCTGCGCTCAGTCTGTGGCCAAAGACCCAAGAGCCCCTGGCAAACCACTGGTGTAAGCCCAAGAGTCCAAAAGCTGAAGAACTTGAAGTCCAATGCTCGAGGGCAGGAAGTACCCAGCTTGGGAGAAAGATGAAAGCCAGAAGACTCAGCCAGTCTAGTCTTTCCAAGTTCCGCTGCCCAATTTTATCCTAGCCACACTAGCAGCTGATTATATGGTGTCCACCCAGATTAAGGGTGGGTCTGCCTGTCCCAGTCCACTGATGCAAATGTTAATCTCCTATGACATCACCCTCAAAGATCCACCCAGGAACAATACTTCACCTCCTGCAATCCAGTCAAGTTGACACTCAATATTAACCATCACAGCTTCTTAGTGACTTTGTATCTCTTCATGGCTGTTTGTCAAACTGTAACCAGTGTGATCATACATTGTGTCATTTTCTTCTACTCTTTTGTTTTGACTCTATGTTTTCTACTAGGGCTTTTACCTCTCAAATAAAGTATCAGCATTTTAATCTCTACCTCAACTTCTGCTTCTAATTCAGAAAATGTGGGTTAATATGATTAGTTTGTGGAATGAATCTAGAAAACAGATCTTCAGGATGAAATTTAGAGTTGGATAGCTCACCTATCTAAAAGCATCCCTTGTGGATAGTAGTAGAAGACTAACTGGGAATGCAGCTGGAGCACAATTATTAGACATTCACCTCTGTTTAACTGAAGTAAAGTGCAAGAAGAGGACGTTAAGTTTAGCCTAAAGGTTTCTCTGTATATAGTGAACTGTAACCTAACTGGATGTATAAACAGACTGTAACCTACTCTTGTGACAATCACTGAATCTTAGCCAATCAAAGGCAGCCAACTGTTCAAACCATGTTCACATAAGGCAAATGTGAGCCGTAACGAATCAGCTGTTTCTGTACCTTCTTCCATTTTCTGTCTACAAATCTTCAACCACACAGCTGTGCTGGACCCTCTCTGAACCTATGCTGCTTCAGAGACTGCCCCATTCCTAAATTGTTCTTTCCTTAATTAAACTCTGTTAAATTTAATGTGCCTAAGCTTTCTCTTTCAACAAGAGTAAGTTTAGTAAGATCATATGGTTGTGGCACTTAACAGGGAACAATTATCAGAATTGTGAAAAAAGATTATTCCCTTTGGTACCAAAAAAGGACTTAGAAAATGAGAATGATGGGCGTGGGACAGTCCATTTCCACTTCAAGACAGCCTCTGAAATCCAGAGTACTTCTGACAGCTTTAAAGGGTCTTGCATTTCTGGCCACTTCTGGCAGACTGCTGATAATCTGGCCAAGATTCTAACTACCAGGGGGCCGGGTCTGAAAAGAAGACTAACATGGGTTGGCAGTAGCTCTCCTGTGTTAAATCAAGACCATGACAGGGAAAGAGTAGGATGCTACAACTGGAATGAACACATTTAGGTAGACAAATCTGATAATCTTGAGGCCCTGAAATTATCCTGAATTCAACTTTTCAACAGAAACAGCCCCCTTTTACTGTATAAGACCTTTTCTCCAGTGTGACCGTCAAAGTCAAGTCTCAGCACCACTGCTCAGATGGGTAATTACAAGCCAAATTTGGGAATAAATAATATACAAGGAATTGCGGGATCTGACTAATATGCATTCGTAAGAACCTGAGGAACATGTGCAGAAATGCATCCTGAGGGTGTTAAACATTTCGGTGGGTGGTTGCAGAATGGAAGGCTGGAGAGGGAACAATTCATTTATAGTGTGCTTCCCAGAAATACTTCTGGTAACAACCCTCTTAGTTCAGATTCCCTAGAAGCAAAGACTGAGACAAAGACTCTGTAAGGTGAGTCTTTTCCTTTTTCCTTCCTTCCTTCCTTCCTTCCTTCCTTCCTTCCTTCCTTCCTTCTCCTCCTTCCTCCCCTCCCCTCCCCTCTCTTCCCTTCCCCTACCCTTCCCTTCTTTTCCCTTTTCCTTCTCTCTCTCTCTTTTCTTCCATAAGGGAATGAAGGAAGCACATTACAGAATGGGAGGGCCAAGAAATAATGTGTTCTCAGGTAAACTCTTCACTTGGCCTAATCCACATAAATCACCCTACAGGTTGACTTCCCTTTTAGCATTAGGGCAATCTCTTGCAGTACCTTGTCAGTCTTTGAATGTGGGCTATTCCTGGGGGAAGGTAAAATAATCTTCTGCTGGAAGGGATTCTTGTCTGCCAAGGGTGAATTCTAAGAGAAAGGGGATGTTTGTGAACTGAGAGCAGCTGACACTCACCACAGCAGATGATAAAAGATTTGAGTGGGACACAACACCATCTAGTACAGCATCTAATTCAGTATCCTCAGTACTCGGAAGCGTATTTTATCTATGTATGTTTTCTTTCACTCCCATAATTACCACCAAGAAACACACACCAATTAGGGAGGCCCACATGTAGAATACTATGAACTTTTCATTGCCTGGTATCTCCATTCCAACATAATTTTTAAAAAAATATGACAAAAGTTATAAGAATACATGAATTAATTTATTTCTGTACACATCTAATATATCTCTAAAATTCAAAAATTTCAATGGCAGTGAAGGGTCATTCATTAATGGACATGATTTAGTTTGTTGTATCAAGAAATGTCAAGGACCAGGTGAGGATTTACCTAATAACATAGTCTTTCAGGTTTACACTGTTAACCTTCAAAAGAGGATAATTATTCTGTATCAATAAGTCAAATGTCATTAATATTTAGAAGCTATCATATCTTAAGTGATTTAAAACAATAATATAAAGCATAACTCTGGAAAATTATTCTTGTAAAGATTAAAAGCCATTAAAGACAAAGAAAATATGTTTACCAGACCAGCATTTATGAAATAAATTTTATTGAATTTCTCTAAAGAATTATCTCTATATAAAACTTTTTTTCCTTTCTCTTGGTATCTTTCCTAGAAGTAACAACAGGTGGAGAGTAACTTTTCTAGAAACTAATAAATTTAGATAACATGTTTTCATGATGTATTTTATGTATTAGTAAATGTCCATAAGCAAACTCAATAGATAAAAATTCAGATTTTCAGATCAAATAAACTAGAGGATATTCAGTCACATAACAAGTATTTCAAAAATATTTACCTTTTTGGCGATATCTGCAAATATGAGGGAAGGGAAATAAAAATTAAATTAGTATATAAAGCGTGACTGAAGAGATAAGACATGTTTAAAAATATAATTTAATGTAGATAATGTTAAGGTCCATGAAAAATGATTATAAAATTCAGAAGAGACAGCAAGAGCTTTAAATTTCACTAAAATTAACGTTTGGTAGTTTTGTTTTTAAGAGATACATTTTTATGAGAGCTCAAAGGAGAAAGACATTTTATTTGGCTGAAATAAGCTGGGAACTTGTTGCTTTTGGATAACTCTATTTCAAAAAAAATTCTTACATTTTGAACTAATTTACAAATGCACATCTTAAAAAGAAAGCTGCCCTCCTTCCAATAAGGATTTAGAAGTAATTAATTTAGTCTATTAATTATTATTAATTTTAGTCTATTAATCATTGGCAGCATAGAATATTATAACTAAGAAACATCTTTACAAGAAAGCTGCTCTCCTTTCAATAAGTATTTAGAAGTAGTTTGTCAATTTTTATTAATTTAGTTTATTAATCATTGGTAGCATAAAAGATTATAGCTAAGACTGACTTCCACAATGGTTGAACTAGTTTACAGTCCCACCAACAGTGTAAAAGTGTTCCTATTTCTCCACATCCTCTCCAGCACCTGTTGTTTCCTGACTTTTTAATGATTGCCATTCTAACTGGTGTGAGATGATATCTCATAGTGGTTTTGATTTGCATTTCTCTGATGGCCAGTGATGATGAGCATTTCTTCATGTGTTTTTTGGCTGCATAAATGTCTTCTTTTGAGAAGTGTCTGTTCATGTCCTTCGCCCACTTTTTGATGGGGTTGTTTGTTTTTTTCTTGTAAATTTGTTTGAGTTCATTGTAGATTCTGGATATTAGCCCTTTGTCAGATGAGTACGTTGCGAAAATTTTCTCCCATGTTGTAGGTTGCCTGTTCACTCTGATGGTAGTTTCTTTTGCTGTGCAGAAGCTCTTTAGTTTAATTAGATCCCATTTGTCAATTTTGGCTTTTGTTGCCATTGCTTTTGGTGTTTTGGACATGAAGTCCTTGCCCACGCCTATGTCCTGAATGGTAATGCCTAGGTTTTCTTCTAGGGTTTTTATGGTTTTAGGTCTAACGTTTAAATCTTTAATCCATCTTGAATTGATTTTTGTATAAGGTGTAAGGAAGGGATCCAGTTTCAGCTTTCTCCATATGGCTAGCCAGTTTTCCCAGCACCATTTATTAAATAGGGAATCCTTTCCCCATTGCTTGTTTTTCTCAGGTTTGTCAAAGATCAGATAGTTGTAGATATGCGGCATTATTTCTGAGGGCTCTGTTCTGTTCCATTGATCTATATCTCTGTTTTGGTACCAGTACCATGCTGTTTTGGTTACTGTAGCCTTGTAGTATAGTTTGAAGTCAGGTAGTGTGATGCCTCCAGCTTTGTTCTTTTGGCTTAGGATTGACTTGGCGATGCGGGCTCTTTTTTGGTTCCATATGAACTTTAAAGTAGTTTTTTCCAATTCTGTGAAGAAAGTCATTGGTAGCTTGATGGGGATGGCATTGAATCTGTAGATTACCTTGGGCAGTATGGCCATTTTCATGATATTGATTCTTCCTACCCATGAGCATGGAATGTTCTTCCATTTGTTTGTGTCCTCTTTTATTTCAGTGTGGCGATTCCTCAGGGATCTAGAACTAGAAATACCATTTGACCCAGCCATCCCATTACTGGGTATATACCCAAAGGACTATAAATCATGCTGCTATAAAGACACATGCACATGTATGTTTATTGCGGCACTATTCACAATAGCAAAGACTTGGAACCAACCCAAATGTCCAACAATGATAGACTGGATTAAGAAAATGTGGCACATATACACCATGGAATACTATGCAGCCATAAAAAATGATGAGTTCATGTCCTTTGTAGGGACATGGATGAAATTGGAAACCATCATTCTCAGTAAACTATCGCAAGAACAAAAAACCAAACACCGCATATTCTCACTCATAGGTGGGAATTGAACAATGAGATCACATGGACACAGGAAGGGGAATATCACACTCTGGGGACTGTGGTGGGGTCGGGGGAGGGGGGAGGGATAGCATTGGGAGATATACCTAATGCTAGATGACACGTTAGTGGGTGCAGCGCACCAGCATGGCACATGTATACATATGTAACTAACCTGCACAATGTGCACATGTACCCTAAAACTTAGAGTATAATAAAAAAAAAAAAATTAAAAAAAAAATAGTAAAAAAAAAAAAAAAGATTATAGCTAAGAAACAAAAACTCATAAAATAAAATGATAGAAACCATTGATAATTAGACATTGGATACATGTATTGAAATGTCACACTGTACCCCATAAATATGTATAATTACTATGTGTCCATTAAAAACAAAAATAAAAGCAAAAAATTTTTAAGTAAGCTGTAAAAATGAAAAATGATAGGAACCAGATAATTATCTCGAAATTATTGTATAATTCTAGCACAATTTGGTTTCTTACAAATTTTATTTTAGTTGTGCATTCTTGCTTAGATTTGCAAGTGCTATTTTTAATCTAAGACAAATATTGATCAGTCATTAGCCATATCTGTGTGATTATATAGATACTTTAATGACAGGTCCGTCTATCTTGACATAATCCTTTGATTATATATGTACTTGACCTTTACATATAAAATGTTACTTCCCTTTCTCATTTTGATGTGAAAGAATTGTGGCATTCTTGACTATAATATGTCTATTGCTCAGATCTACCATGAATGGTGGCATATCTTTCCCTTGTTTTCCCCTTTCATACTTTTGAATTATAGTTATTAGCAATGAACTGTCTATGCTATTTTGGTCTTGAGGCACAGATTTTTTAATCTTAAAAATAAAACAACCAAAGTTTAATTTTCATAGAATTTTAAAGCTCTTGGTATTTCTTCTGGGGGTTTCTAACCATTTTATATTCTATTTTTCAATTATGTAATTTTTCCTACTCTCTCTACAACACAGAATATACCTGAGAGAAAATCAAACTTCATATGTATCATGAAGATGGTTTGTCTAGCAGCATTCCTGCAAGAATATTTACAAATATCTCCTGCTTTTGCTTTTATTTTCCTTTGTACATTTCCGAAGAACAGCTCAGATGCTCTATTTCGGAAGTGTCTTATGGTAATAGCGCAACTTGTGCTATTATTTACTTCATCTGGAAAAGAAAATGTAAACAAATAAACCCAGTGGGTCTCTTCTCCTTGGTAAGAATCTCATCTAACTTATTTGTTAAATTTAATTTAATCACAGACCTGAAACGAGAATCCCAGAATCTATAGTTTACCCACCAGACATGTTTAATGAGTATTTCAAAGACAATTGTTGATTGCTAAAATATTAATTTTAATTCTTAAAATATTAAATTATGTTGGGATTATAGAAAGTCGACAAAGCATATTATCAATTTTATAATTTCATAATATATTTCTATGCAAGGGTACAGAAACAGGTTGGACCAATATTTTAGAATGACAGACCATGATTTAGGCTTTCAGAGCTTGCTTACTATTATAGAGTAATCATCATTTCTGTTCATTAGAGATGCAATAACAGTTAATAATTCATGTACATACTTTAAAAATTGTGCAAGTCTTTTTGAATATGATATAGATTCTAATGAAGCATTATTCTTTACCATAATTCCAATCTAATCTTTCTTATATAACTTTAAAAAGTATTAAAATAATTTATTTTAGCCTGGGTGCCATGACTCACACCTGTAATCCCAGCACTTTGGGAGGCTGAGGCAGGCAGATCATGAGGTCAGGAGTTCAAGACCAGGCTGGCCAATATGGTGAAACCTTGTCTCTACTAAAAAATACAAAAATTAACTGAGTGTGGTGGCACGTGCCTGTAATTCCAGCTACTTGGGAGGCTGAGGCAGGAGAATCACTGGAACCCGGGAGGCAGAGGTTGCAGTGAGCCACAATCGCACCACCGCACTCCAGCCTGGGCAACAGAGCGAGACTCGGTCTCAAAATAAAAATAAAAAAAAATAAGTTTATTTTGTTTGCATATACTTTTTATTGCAAAAATTAAAATAATCTCTATACTGCCATTATAGCCCCAAAGTATAAAATTAGAAATGAGTTTTTTTCAAGAACTGGAAATAATGAGAGTCAGGACAAAGAGAGTTTTCAAATTTCTAGTTTATACTACCATCCATCTAGTTACTAACACGTGCCATTCAATATTTCTCTCAATGGTCCTTTTGGTATTTTTGTCATTTTTTTACCACCATGCCAACCAGTTCTGTAGTTGCAAGTAGCATTTTTAAAATTTATATTCAAATGTATCATTTCTCTTAATGAATAAATAAAGGTATTCTTTGATATGGCACTAATCTGTCCTTTCTTACAGAGCTGTTTTATAAAATAATTAATGTAATCATATATTTGCACATACTTTACATGTAAGGGCAGGTACAAGGAAAGAGACAGAGACAGACAGGCAGGGAGGAATGACCTCATTTTGTGGATTCTTACATCCTAGAAAGATAATAAAGTCTCTTTGGCCAAGAATCCTCTTTCGCCTATCCTAAGATCAACCCAGTCACCATAGAACCTTGTATAAAGTATGTTTTAGTAATTCTCATTTAGCATACCTTTTAGTGTTAAAATAAGAAGTCTGAGAGAAAAATGCGAGAAATATTTCTGAATTTCTTAACTGCACTTGGCTTATACTAATGGTTAAATGGTTTCTTGTTATCAACATTGATTGACCTTTGTAGTTATTATTAAGTTCTGCCAGCAACACAGATATTCTACCATTCTAAATATTCTTTTTATGATGTTAAATATTAAAAATGCCTAATGGATTAATGGGATGAATGGAAGGGGCATAAGTATCTAGAAGTACACTCAATATACTGTGACTTATTAATATTTTTTTCAAAGTTTTTCATTGACTAGTGATGTTATGTTTGGGCCTCAGTTTCTGTGCCTATGAAGAGAAAATCTTCAAATCATTAGTTTTCAACCTGTGTTTCAAGGAGTTTCACAGAAGCCTCCAAGTCTGATGCAAAGGCTACCAATACCTATGAGTAGATTTTGGACCTGTGAACCACTTAGCTTTAATCTTGCACTAGCTTTTCTGTATTTTACAAACCAAATCTTTGCTTAAACTTTTGTTATTGGAAAGGAATCCGAGTACAAATATATTTAAAACTATAGCATATGGTTATTCCAGCTCTGGATATACTCCATGTTTTTAAAATTCACTAGGTCAATTGAACTATGCAGTCGTCCCCTAAAACCCTTTCTCTAGCTTCTCCTATTTTGCTCTACTGAAGTCCCCTAGAGACTCAATCTAAGCTCGTTTAGCAAGATTTTTTTCTGAGATAAGAAATGAATTGATAGCGCTAGTGCTAAGGCCTCTTTCATGTCCTGTATATCTTATTTATCTCTTTCCCTTTTGCCTTTCCTCAGGTCTAACACTTTTTGTTTACCTTAGCTTTAGGCCTAATCTTCTCTATGACAGGTAAGTACTTGTCTGACTCCAGATTATTCATCACTGCTTGGCTTTCTTGGTACCATGCTCTGTCTGCCCATGGTCCCAGGTATTTATAAATCATTATGAAAGTCATCACATTGGTAGAATTTGTCATGCTTTCTATTTATAGGTGAATAGTTTTCCTATCACCTGTATTGCATTAGGCAGTGAATCCTAAGCCAGGTTTCAATTCCGTTGTCCTCTCACCTTACTCTTTCTTCTGTGTGGTTTGTCTCAGACCTCATTCTTAAATCTTAAGAGTCAATGTAAATGAAATTTCAAAGCCTACTAGATTCAACTGTTGGTAAATGGTCATCCTCCAAAAAACACATAGGTCCAGTCTAGTCATCAGGGAAACATCAGAAAAATCCCAGTTGATTAACATTCTACTAAATACCTGACCAGCATGCCTCAAAACTGTCAAGAGCATCAAAAAAACTCCTTGGAAAGTCTGTAAAACTGTCATAGCCAACAGGAGCCCAAGAAGACATGATGGCTAAATGCAATATGGTATCCTGGGAAAAAATTCCATTAGGTAAAAACTAAAAAACCTGAGTAAAGTATAAGCTTTAATTAATAATTTGCACTTGCTGTTAAATGCCTAGAAATTTTTCCCTAGATAGACTTCCTGTTTATTTTCTTCAATTTTCTACTAAAATATAACTCTTTGTGAGGCCATCTCTCTTCATATTGTTTTTAAACTATCCATCCCACTTTCCCACTTTATTTCTCTATGGCACTTATCACCATTGAATATATCACATACTTTACTTGTTTATTGCTTGTCTCTTTCCACTTCAAAGTGAATTCCAGGGGACTAGGTATTTTTTTGTGTTTGTTGATTTGTTGTTTATTGTTAAACCAACATTGGCTGGAAAAGTGTCTGGCACATATAAGTGCTTAGCAAATATTTGTTGAATGAATAAGTAGATGGATGGAGACTAGACTACACTGTGGAGTTTAAATAACATCACTGTTCCATTCCTGCTCTAACTCTTTCATTTAATATTTGCCTAGAACTTACTAACCTAGAAATTGGGGTTGCAAACATGAATATTATAGAGTCTTTAAGGAACTCTCATATTAGTGAGGGATAATTTTTAAAAGATAATTGTTATAATAAGATACGGAAGATTCTATGAAAGAGTCAAACATTTGATGAGATCAATCAGGTTGAGTCTTGAAAGACAGGTAAAACATAAATGAAAGCATGGAAATATAGGAGGTGGTTGAAATGGTGGAAGCAGCATGAATAGGAGACTGGGGTTAGAGGGCATGGGATGTTCAAAGACCTCTACTGTGCAGTGGGGAGGAAGTAGAGAATAAAAGTCACCTGACCTGAGGCAGCAGTAATGTTCAGAGATTTTTTCTTTTTTTAATCTATATGATTCATCCTATTTTGGGATATGAGTGCCCTAAATAATTTAGAGTTGCACATATAATCCTTTCAAAATATTGAAGTTTCAAACCCAGAATATCTAAATTTCTTTCTAGTAGGAAAAACTATATTTTAAAACTAGAAGAAATCAGAAAAATATCATCCAAAGTACTCTTTCCAATTTCCTTAGAAATATTTTGGTAAAAAAGTTAATTTTATCATAAAACAGTATCATATGTGATACATTATATATGTGTCATATTTGTCGTTTCAAATTTGAAATTTTTGTGTAAAATTTGACAGAATTATAAGTAGATAGATTCTTAAACACTTTTAGATAATGATCTCTATGAGAGATAATAAAAATTCCTTTTAATCTCTAAACTAAGACATTAATTCCTTGTTGCTTATTAAAAATTCATCTCCCAATATCTCCTTCAATCACAAGTTTGAATCAGAATCCTGGGGGTGGGGCAAAGAGTCAGAATGTTTAGCAACTTTCCTATTGATTCGTATACAGATAAAGTTTTAGAATTTTGGCTTGCAAGCTCTAGCTTGTGTGTATATGTAAGAGAGAATGAAAAATGACATATATTCTGGAGCTGAAAGACACTTTTGTTGTTCTTTATTTTTCCCCTTCACCTTCTACAAGATTATCTGCTACAAAACCGTCTTCAATAAACAATAAGAACTTGCTTATTGAGGCATATTTTAGATCAAGGACTATGTCATATATTTCTTTTTATGTTTATGGCCTGCTTTAGTAGACTCTACACGTAATAGGTGGTTAATAAAAAATAATTTTAATAATAATTTCTTCTAAATCTTAATAACTTGTATTATTATTATTATTTTAGATAGAGTCTAACCCTCTCGGCAGGCTGGAGTGCAGTGGCACAATCTCAGCTCACTGCAACCTCCGCCTCCCAGGTTCAAGTGATTCTCCTGCCTCAGCCTCCCAAGTAGCTGGGACAACAGGCGCGTGCCACCACGCCCAGCTAATTTTTGTATTTTTAGTAGAGACGAGGTTTCATCATGTTGGCCAGGATGGTCTCGATCTCTTGACCTCAGCCTCCCAAAGTGCTGGGATTACAGGCGTGAGCCACTGCACCCAGCCCAAAAAGTTGTATTTTAAAGTATTTTTCTCTATTTTAGTTATCATTTGTCTTAAAGAGCTCTAATCCACTATTTCCTCCTAGAATTTATATAACTTGAAAGTTGTCGTTGATTGAAATTTTAATTTTTTTTCACTTTACAGCCTGTGTAACTACATATTTTCTTAAGGGCCTAATTTTCTACCCTCTAATATATCTTTATTACTTTTGTCTGGATCTTCTTCAACTTCTCCATATCTCTTCAGTGTTGATTGAGTGACTTATCTGTATCTAAACTTCCATGTGACAAAGATCAGGTTAAAGCTCTCAAATGGTGTACCTCATGGTCTTTTTATTTTTCTTTTAATGTCTGTAAGATATTTTCTTTTGACAAATATATTTTCTATCTATCTATCGATCTATCATTTATCTATCTAATCTCTCCAAATATAATATTTAATCCTCCCAGAGACTGTTTGTGTTTTTACTATGCATATTTCCATTTAAAAATGAGGAATTTGAAGCCCAGAGATGTTAAGTGATGTGTGTAAGATCACACAGCTAGTAAATGGTAGAGATGAGCTATGAACGCAGACAGTCTGATTCCAGAGCAGCCATGGCACAGATGCTTTTATAGTCATTTGTGTTTCTACATCTATTTGTCCTTATTTTTCTGTGCATTTTTCTCTTCTCCCTTTTGAGGAAGATCGTTGGATATTTTTTCGATTCCATTTTCTTTCCCTTTGCTGTATCGGGATTTATAGGATCTCTTTCTATTCTTTCAGTGGATCATTTGAACTTCCACCATGAATATTTCCTTTAGCCAAGTCCAAAACCAGAAATAGTATTTTACCATCACTTTCAAACAATTCACCTTATCTTAGAAGATTTTAACTTCATCACCCATCTTAATGTAATTTTTGTTTAATCTTTTTCTTCAAGAGTTCCTTTTGTTTCTTATCCTCATGGACATATTTTATTATCATACTTATTAATGTTGCCATTATGATTAGTGTGGCAACATTCTTATTGTTTTAATGAACATTTTCCTGACTACTAGTGAAAGGAAACATATTTTCATGTTTCTTCCTCATCCAGATTCCTTCCGTGAATTCCTCATCAATTATTTTTTAGTTTTCCAATTCTTTTTGGGTAATATAATTTATTTATTTACCAAAGCTACAAATCAGTTTTAAATTTTATGCTTTACAAATGTCTTAGTTTAAATTGCTGGCTCAATTTTTACTTTATAGATGTTATTTCAAGATCTAGAATTTTCATTTTTATGTAATAAGGTTCATTAAGAAAAAATATTAATTAAGAACATTCTTACTGTTTGTATATCTGAATCTTATTTAAGAAATCCTTCCATTCATCTAAGTTCATAACACAATTCTCTCATCTTTTATTCCAAAAGTTTTAAAGTTTTTCTTTTTAAACTTCATTCTTTAATCTGTCTGGAATTTATGTTTATGCTTAATGTGAGGTGAGGATCAAGTTAATTTGGTTCTCCATATGAGTAACTGTAGTCCCAGCAGATTTATTTACGAGTTCACCTGTTTCTCCCTTAATGCTTTCCCTCAAAGTTCTATGAACAGAGGCTTTTGTTTCCTCTTCCTCTATTCTATTCCGTTGCTCTATTTTCCAGTCACATTGTCATTTTCACCGTGGGTGCGTATGTGTGACACTTTACACAAAATCTTGATATTTGAAAGGGATATACCCTCCCCATCCATTTTCCTTTTTAAAAAATAAAATCTACAATCATTTTGTAAAGTACCACAGAAGTATTATGCAATTTAAATTAAAATTGAGTTTACTGGCTAAACCGGACAGGATGGATATAATTTCAAAAATAGGAACATGATCTATCTCAACATTTATTTAAGAATATATTAAAGTCTTTCAATAAAGGTTTCTACTTTTAATAAATTTTACATTTTTGTTGTTAGGTTTATTTCTAGCTAATTATGAACTTCTGTTGCTATTGAAAATACCTTGGGGCTGAGCACGGTGGCTCACATCTGTAATCCCAATGCTTTGGGAGGCAGAAGTGGGAGGACTGCTTGGCCCAGGAGTTCAAAAGAAACCTGGGCAACATAGTGAGATCTCGTCTTTACAAAACAATAAAAAAAAAAAATTAGCCAGGTGTGGTGGCACATGCCTATATTCACATCTACTCAGGAGGCTGACATGGGAGGATCGCTTGAGCCTGGGATTTCAAGGCTGCAGTGAGCGGTGATAGTGCCATTGCACTCTAGTCTGAGTAACAGGGTGAGATTCTGCCTCAAAAAAAATAAAAAATAAAAAGTAAATCTTAGGCCGGGCCCGGTGGCTTACACCTATAATCCCAGCACTTTGGGAGGCTGAGGTAGGTGGATTACTTGAGACCAGGAATTTGAGACCAGCCTGGCCAACATGGTGAAAGCTCGTCTCTACCTAAAAACACAAAAAAAATTAGCCTGGCGTGGTGGCATATGCCTGTAATCCTAGCTACTCAGGAGGCTGAGGCATGAGAATTGTTTGAATCAGGGAAGTGGAGGTTGCAGTGAGCTGAGATCGCGCCACTGCACCCTAGCCTGGGTGAAAGAGCAAGACGCTGAAAAAAAGAAAAAACTTAAATGTAATTTTAAAGATTACATTTTTTGTCTATTTCTGTTGTGTAAGACTCAATATGATCACTAATTTTAACACTTTCTATCTAGATTTTTTTTTATGGATAATTGTAACAACTGTTAATATTTTGCTATTGTTCCATTTTTATTATTTTATATTCATTTCTTATTGCATTTATTAGGATATCTTTATGACATTAATTTGTCTGATTTGTTGACATTGATAGTGATATCACTAATTTTTCATCACTGAATACAATGTCTGCTGTGGTCTTTGTAATATATGTATATTAGTTGGAATGAAATAAAATTGCTTTAAGAAAAAAAATCAAACAACAAACCATCTCTAAAACCTAGCACTACCAATGTGAAAGGTCCTTGTTGATGGAGAAGCTCTGCTCCACCCAGTCTTTCAGAAACTAGGGTTGTCCCATCCTGTTCCACAATACCCTGTGTTTGAGGTCTTTAACCATTTCGTGAATCCCTTCGGCCATCTGGTGAAGCTATGGCTCTGCCTCAGAATAATGCTTTAAAGTAAGTGCGTAAAATAAAATGTATGTCATTTTAAAGACAACTAATTATAATTGCAAAGCAGTTTCAATACTGTACAGTTTCAAACACTTCTTCTTATGTAGATTTTAGTTTACCTTCATTATTGAAGGAAATGCTAAATTGCAGTTAAACACTTCTAATATTAAAACTACAATTTTCCTCTCACAGATCCAAAATTCTATCCACAGAATTTTGGGTTCTCATGAGCCCCAGGTTAAGAATGCCTACTCAAGGCATTGTAAATATTGTCATAGCTTCATAGCTTAATCTATATTCAGGCAAAGACAGCCTGTGACAGGCACAACCAGTGTATCAATGCCCAAGGAGAAGATGAAACATATCACTTCTGGTCACACTCTGTATTAGTCAGTGTTATCCAGAGAAACAGAATAGGAGATAAATATAGCTATATATATATATATATATATAGAGAGAGAGAGAGAGAGAGATGATATATATAGATACATATGATATAGATATATATAAATATATATGATATAGATATATAGATATATATGATATAGATATATCTGTTGAATCTATCTATATCTATCTATCTAGATAGATAGGTAGATATATCTAACAGAATAGGATATATATATATATCTTCCAAAATCACATCAAACAATTCTTATAATAAATCAATATATATATACTATAATGTATTAGAGTTATTTCTAGCTAATTTTGAACTTTTGTTGCTATTAAATCTCATGAACCAATTTGTACAATAAATCATTATATATGTAATGATATATAGATATATATAATAAATCACGACCAGGCATGGTGGCTCATGTCTTTAATCCCAGCACTTTGGGAGGCCGAGGCAGGCAGATCACCTGAGGTCAGGAGTTCGAGACCAGCCTGGCTAACATGGTGAAACCCAGTTTCTACTAAAAATACAAAAAATTAGCCAGGCGTGGTGGCACGTGCCTGTAATCCCAGCTACTCGGGAGGCTGAGGCAGGAGAATTGCTTGAATACTATATATAGAGATATATAGTATCTATCTATCTATCTATCTAGTAACTCATTATAAGAACCAGTTAGTCATGATTCCCTTATTGTATGTATGACTGCATATAATTGTATCTCAGACTATAGGCCCTATGCTTCCAATTCTTGTATTAGAAAAAAGGTTTTTATTATGAAATATAAGAATTAAACCTACATTTCTATACAGTCCTTTTCATTTAAAATAATTGTTTTAAATTCATTATCCTTAATTTTACATCAGGTGATAGATTAAAAGAAAAATATTATCGTAGCCTATCAAGAGTTATTTAGTGATAGGATTATATTAACCTTCCAGTTAGCTAATATCCAGTTTCCTTAGCTAGCTTTTACCTAGTTTTTAATTTACAATAGTACGGTATGAGAATATATTTTCTTTTAAGTATAAAAATAGACAGGATTATTACATAATTCATAATCACATATGTTCCTACATTATCCGTAAAGTTGATATTAAAATATCTTTGGAAAATATTCTGGAAAAATCAATACTTTGAAACTTTTTTTTTAACATTTTGAATTTTTAAAAGTAAGTTAGCTGTACTAATTCCTACTTGTTTTCCTCACAGCATTTCAGAGAATTTTCAACATATTAAATGTCACAAAATGAATGAAAGTTCCAAATCTCAATTTTAAGGCTGACATTGTCCATTCCCTGTGAAGTTTTTCAGTCTCTAAATAATTCATCTATCATACATAGTGTTTTCACTCGACACCCTTCCTTTCGAAATAATTCTCTTGAGCTGCACCTCCAAATAGGGTAGACACTGAACACATGTGGCTAAATTTAAAGTTAAACTAAAGTGAAATAAGCTTAAGTTCCTTAGCCACACTAGCCACATTTTAAGGTGCTCAATTGCCCTATGTGGCAAGTGGCTACCGTATTGTGTAGTGTAGAAGAACATTTCTATTATTGCTGAAAGTTCTATTGGGCAGTTCTGTAGAGAAGAGATTCTTTTATTAGAATTTCATCCATGTGTTCTATTAGAACTATAACATTGACAGTTACAGAAACCATCCATGAGATAAACAAATTATGAAAATACACAATTTTATCAGCAGCATTATTTTTATAACACTTTTTATCAGGAAAGTAGCAGACTAAATATGAAGTGTGTTTTTCATTTCCTCAGTGATAGCCTTGCATCATTTAATTCCAGTTTTAGGTAAGATACTCTTTTTTCAAATCCAAATAATTTAATCTATTTTCTTTATTTTTATGTTAACCCAGAGTTTATTAATTTTAAGACATTGATTAAGTGTTGTACATATTTGTGGAAGAAATGATTTATTCTAAGTTATATCCTATGGCAACAATTAACTATTCATTTATGAAAAATAAAAGCAAGAAAAATAAAGAAATAACTTCACAGTTTCTTCAAATGCTTATGTTGCACGTAGTAGGGAAGAGTTTGGACATGGATTACTATTTCATGGTTTAATGAACTTTCGTCTTAGCTAAATGTGAAGAATAATCCTTTTCCTGTTAGTTGTATTTCTTTCTATTTAGTTGATTTTTCCCTACTTAGGAAATCATTCTTTCTTCTAGTTTTCCCCACTTTTTGATGAAAGAATTGATTTCCTTTCTTTTTTCTTATCGTGACAGATACCTGGCTAAAATAAAGAAAAAAGAAAAAAAAGTAAGCCTGAAGAAAACAAACATGTATTTCTGTGCTAATTTTATTCATATCCTTTGGATATTAGAAGCCCCACTGTGGCACATTACCTAATTGCATTTTAGCTTCTGGAGCTGTGCATAAACTGTAAATCTATATGACCGTTGTTTATTCTACTATCACACGTGCAGGCATCAGACACGACATTTGGATAGCTGAATGCCAGGAAATTATAGGCGCTTTCTCTCAGAAGGAAACATGGCAAAATAAATATGTAAATAAATAAACAAATCAAACATGGCATTGAATTCAGCTGCCTAGTACTGCTAATTGTACACAATCCAGGTATTAATACAATATGAAAAATAATAAACTACTTAAAAAATTCATGTTTTTACTATGCTTAGTTTAATTATGAATTAACAGATTAGTAAATGTTCTTTACTCAAACTCAACAATTGCATTCTAGTTTAAAGAAATATTAAGAATTTATATGGAAATATAGCAATAAATAATTGCAGCATCGTTTATAATTTGAAAAAAAAATAGAAAGACTTAATATAAAATGTAAATGATTAAACAAATATATCCGCAGATGGGAAGATTTCAAAAACTTCTTGCCAAATCAATCTATCAATTCAATGAAATTTCAATAAAAATTGTCCCGTGATTTTTTCATAGAAGCTGACAAACAAATGTAAGATTCATATGAGAAGAGAGGATAAAGGATCCAAAGGGTCAATTTACTTTTAAAGAAGTAGTGTAAACAGAGGGTTTGTTCAAAAATAAAAATATCAGGATTTTTTTTTAATCTACATTGTTTATGATAATGTGGTATTGGTGCAAAATAATGGAATACCTCTCGGACTCGTGCAGGAGGTGACCCTCATGAGTGTGTTCGTGTTAAAAACACATGTACAGAAAAATATTTAAGGCCGGACAGAGTGGCTCATGCCTGTAATTCCAGCATTTTGGAAGGCCGAGGTGGGAGGATTTGCTTGAGTCCAGGAGTTCAAGACCAGTCTGGGCAACATAGACCCATTTCTACAAAAAAAAAAATTTAAAAAAAATTAGCTCAGGAATCCTGGTGCGCCCCTGTAGTCCCAGCTACTCTGGAGCCTGAGGTGGGAGGACTGCTTGAGCTTGGGAGATCAAGGTTGCAGTGAGCCATGATTGCACCACTGCGCTCTAGCATGAGAAACACCGTGAGACCCTGTCTCAAAAAAAAAAAAAAATTAACATTTACAAACCACTCAGTGGTTATCTAGTTATATATGGAGTTGCTAACAAATTTCATTTTCTTCTTTTTGTTCATCTGTAATTTCTATTGTTAAACAGTGTGTTTGTATTGCTTTATAATTTAAAACAAATTATTTTGTTTATTGATTCTTTTAGTCCAAAGCTTTACTTTCTGGGGACATTAGCATATAAAAGTTGTTATTTTACATGCAATGAATTCCTTCATATGAATCCCAGAAATACACATTCTTTTATTTTCTTATCCCTGAAAGTCATAGCTGATGTGGCTGATTTATAGCATAATCATTCAGCTCTCTCTAGGTTCAATTAGTAATCTCAGATGAAAATTTCAAAAGCATTTTGTTCTCTAAAGCAAAATAAATGTCAAAAGAACCGTTAAACCTCAAAAAGAACTGGTAACAAAGTAAGTTTCACCTAGTTAGTTACATGTTAAGACTGCAGTGGATTTTGCTTACTTAGAAGAGAATCAAATGTCATTTTGGGCTGAAGTTTGCCAATTTACTAAAAGCCATTGTGCATATTCTCGAAGAATGAGTGTTCCCCTCATTTATGACTTATGTCATGGTTGTCATGCAGCGGGATAATTAAGGAATCAGAGAGACCGAGGGGTTGAGGAGGAATTATTTAATTATTTACCTGCACCGACCCAATCGGATTAACATCCAAAGGACTGAGTCAAGCTACCTTTTAACCATTTTGTGGGGCGGGGGGAGATTTGTGCAGGGGGAAGCGTATTACAGAAGCGAGAAAGAAAGACAGTTATTCAATTAAGACGTGCATTACATTATTTCTTACTTTTTAAGGAACAACATGTTTTATGACTTGAGATTATCTGTCTAGTGACCTTGCAGCTGCACAGCTAGAGAAACAGGGTCTTCACAATGCCTGGGAAAGGGAGAGATAAGGCTCACTAGCCACAGAAAAACAGACAGTCAATTTTTAAAGGACTTCAGCTCTTTCTCTTCCTCAGGCATAGTTAGTTTTCTTACATACAACTGAGTTTTTGCTTACAGATTTTTAAATTTCTTTTAATTCTTGTTCCAGTCACAATGATCCTAGAGTCTAGGAGGGGCAAAGTGGGCCCTGTGAAGACCAGGCTGTGCCCACTGAGGCTGTGGGACTCTCTACAGGCCACGTCTGCAGGCCAAAGGAGAGAGGGCCGATTATAGCAGGTGACCACAATTCACGTGGACCACGTCAGGAGAGAAAACACAGCTGGGTCAGGAAAAGAGAATGGTGGGCAGGAAGGGCAAATATAATGAAGACAACACATCAGAGCCAAAGATATCATAAAGGTTAAAGAAACTCTTGTAAAAAAAATATAAGAAACTATTATAGGATAAGGGAAGACGCCATTGGGGCAAGAGAACCAGGCTTTGAATCTCTCCCATCTACAAATAATTTGTCTTTGGACAATTTATGATTTTATTTTTTAAGTTTCAGTACCCATTAAGATAACATATCCATTTTTAAGTTTTATTGATTACCTGGAAAATAGTCATCGCTTCGTAGATAATAGCTCTCATTATAGTTGTAAAAGAAACACATGGGGGACCCAGCAAAGGAAGTTTTTTTATTTTTTATTTTTATGGAGCAATCTCTAATGAACTCTGCAGATGCCTGTTGCTGTCTAGAGTGATGAGCTCCTACTGGACAATTTTATTATTCAAATAAGGCAAACACTATCAGAAAGTCCATAGAAAAAGGAGTTTGTAAGTGGGTTGTAAGTGAAATAGTTATAATTTATATTAAATTCCATGGGTCCTTTAGAGATTTATAAATAATAATTTATGTAATATGATATAGGAAAATGGAAGAAATCTAGTCATATTACAGTTATAATAAGCCAAGCACTGTTTAGTCGGACACTATATACACATTCATATCTACTGAATATATATCTACTGAATATATATATATATATATATTTAGTAGAAACTTTGTACTTCTTTTTGAATAATTCAGCTAATGTTTCCTAAATGTCTATCATCTGCAATACTTTATTGACTGCCACTTATTTTGAATAAAATAAAGTCCCTGACCATTGCCATGCACATTGACTAAAGTAATTGCTAAAATATTTCCTTCAGAAGTGATTGGACCATGACAGCTTTCAAATGACTAAGAAAAGCTTCATTTAGGTTTGTACTCTTAGCTTAAAAAATGAATGAATGGGAAGTGATATGTGAATTCAGTTCAAGATTTAAACATCTTTTAGCATAAAATACAAAAATAATATTTTTCTGTTTTAAATAAATACATATGTATTTTTGTATGTGTGTGTGTGTGTGTGTGTGTATGTGTGTGTTGGGGGTGTGTCTGTGTGTGTATACAGCATTTATTTAGTAGAGGAAAATGTTGCTATTAAACACTCAGGGATAATGCAATTTCAAACATTCTGCAGTTGACAATGGGCTTCCTTACCCACTCTGTTCTCAAATATAGGCAGGCTTAAGTTACTGTCTTCTAGGTAGAAAAGAGTTGGGGAGGAGAAGATAAACAGTAAATATTGGCCGGGCGTGGTGGCTCATGCCTGTAATCCCAGCACTTAGGGAGGCCGAGGCGGGCGGATGACCTGAGGTCAGGAGTTCGAGACCAGCCTGACTAACATGGAGAAACCCTGTCTCTACTAAAAATACAAAATTGGCTGGGTGTGGTTGTTCATGTCTGTAATCCCAGTGACTCGGGAGGCTAAGGCAGGAGAATCGCTTGAACCCAGGAGGCGGAGGTTGTAGTGAGCCAATATCATGCCATTGCACTCCAGCCTGGGCAACAAGAGCGAAGTACCATCTAAAAAAAAAACAGTAAATGTCAAGGCTTGGGTAAGAAAGAGCAGGGAACCCCATTTTCAAAGCAGGTAGTCATTCTGAGCCTCCACAATTCCCCATTCAGCAAGAGCATCAAGCTCTCTGCACTGATTGCATTTAAGCTCACAAATTTCAATCTTGCCTTTTGCTTGATTGTATTTTTGAATCAAAAGTATAATAAAAAGTAACTGTATTTATTAAGTTATGGAGGAGTTGTACAGTGAATACAAAAGCCATTTTGTTTCATGTAGTCTAAAATATGATTAAAAAGACTTGTACAGAATATGAAATGTATACATATATGCAGATGGTCTAATTTTCCACTTCATTTCAACTTTGCCTTTTTATTACTTCTTAAGTTTTTCTTTTCACTTATATGCCACACAAATTAATGTAAAACTGCCACAAATTTGTTTTTTGTTTTTTAATACAATTCTGTTTTTATTCACCCTTCATCTTTTTGCTCTAGTCATTTTGTTTAACAACTAAGAAAAATAGAAACAACAAGCACCCTTTTTCCCAGTACTAATTTCAAATACCCATCTCTCAACTTGGACAAGGGTTTTCCCATTCCCGATTATCTTCTTTGCTTCTTGGACATACTGCATACTAAATGTTCCAGAACAAATAGTGCACTTCTTACATTCTTGCTCTCTGATAGTTAATTTTTAATGTAAGCTTGATTGGGCCAAAGGGTGCCCAGATATTTTGTCAAACATTATTCTGGAAGTGTTTTTGAGGGTATTTTTGGATGAGATGAACATTTGAATCAGTAGACTGAGTACTGTAGATAGCCCTCCCTAATGTGGCTAGGCTGCATCCAGTCCGTTGAAGACCTGAATAAAACAAAATGATTGACCAGGAAGAGAAAAGGGGAAAATCCTCCTTTATGACAGCTTTAGCTGAACATTGATCTTTTTCCAGTCTTTTGCCTGGGACTGAAACATGAGTTCTTGTTGGGTCTCAAGCCTGCTGGCTTTCACACTGAAAATTATACCATTTACTCCCCTGGTCCCCGACCTTCAGACTCAGACTGGAACTACACATTGGCTCTTCTGGGTCTTCAGCTTTGCTGACTGTAGACCTTGTGGCTTCTCAGCCTCCATAATCATGTGAACCAATTTCTTATCATTACATATATATGTGTGTGTATGTACATGCACACGCATATGCACACACCTATGAATGCTGGGAAACATCATGAACACACACTTTATGGAATAGGTGGGCTTTAGTTGATGGGTAATGGGAGTATTTGGGGAGTACAATACTAATATTTATTGAGAGTCTATAATGTACTAGGCTTTGAATTCAGGACTCCTTTTGCAAATAGCAGAAACCAATGCTGATTTACTGAAACATAATTTATTGGAAGACTTTAAAATAGGTGAGATACAAGGTCAAGCAGGTGGCTGAGACTACCACCAAGGTAATGCCACAGGAACATTGGCTTTAAGTGGAATTAACATTGCTTCCAGTCAATGAATTGCACCAATAAAAGGCTGCTGGCACCACAGTTGGATGCTGGGCATCATCATGCAAAATAGATACCACTCTGCCACAGTGAACTCTAAAGCCTTTCTAAATTCTTCTTTCTTAGTGGGAAGGTCACCTGCATCTAGATGCAAGGTCTAGGAAAGCAGCATCTGATTGATAAGGATTATGTAAATTGCCATGCCATAATAATAATAATAATAATAATAATTTTTTTCTGAGACTGTGTCTCACTCTTTAGCCCAGGCTGAAGTGAAGTGGTGCGATCTCAGCTCATTGCAACCTCCACCCTGTGGGTTCAAGTGATTGTCCTGCCTCAGCCTCCTGAGTAGCTGGGATTACAGGCACGCACCACTATGTCTGGCTAATTTTTTGTGTCTTTTGTAGAGATGGGGTTTCACCATGTTGGCCAGGCTTGTCTTGAACTCCTGACCTCAGGTGATCTACCTGCCTCAGCCTCCCAAAGTGCTAGGATTACAGGTGTGAGCCACCGCCTCATATTCTTTTTCAAATCTCAGTCCCTAAAAAGAGAAGAAGCATTTCAGATGCTAAGGAGCAAAAGCATGACCAAACCAAAATTTATCTACCATGCTGACTTTAATGATGTTTTAGAAATGAATCCTCAGAACAAATATTAAAAGTACATATTATTACATACATATCACACACGATAGGCTGAGACTTTAATAAAATTACTTTCCAAAATTCATTAAAAAATGACAAAACTGTGGTTCAAATACTGGATCTTATTTTACTGTGTTGCAAAAAACCCCTCAAATTTCAGTATTAGTATTTATTCTTCAGATTTTAACCAAATATTTGCTTCAAATGTGTGTGCTTCTGGATATAATTAAAGGTGCACTTCTGGATATAATTATCCTGAGTATTTTTTGGCGTGCCACACCCACTCAATTTTGTGTTTTATCTTACCTAGATAATTATAGCTCAACAAAGCCAATGAAATGGAAAAAAGAAACATCTGGGCACGTAGAAATGGTTAGTAAATGTTTAATTTACACAGATTCAGCATGAAATGATCAGAAAACATAGATTATTGTTTAAAAAACCTCTTCGACTATTGCACTCACTTTTACTGGTCTTAGTTATTTATCCATGTTTAGGATTTTCAATGTTCACAGTTGCCATCAACTTATCCTACTTTCATTTTCATATTTGCATTGATTTAAAAAGGTAATATTTTAAAGTTAAAACTACTCTACTTAGACTTTCCTAATCTTTTTCATTCAGTTAAGAAATTAGAATATTCCAAACTTTGCAAAAAATTGAATGTCTTCTCATTTCATAAATTACAAAGAGAATTGTGATACAACATTTCATTTGATTCACAATAAAGTCTTCAGTTCTACAGAGGAGACAGTTTCTTTCTGAGAGCATAACTGTTTTGCCCCACGTCACATAGTATCAACCCAGGTTTTTAGCTGTCCTGCCCCACACTGCATTTTGAGGTAATGGATGCATGATCATGTCTCCATAATTTAAGTGAAAAACCAAAGATTATAGCCATTGCAGGTGGCTGTCCCATTTAATACCTATATTAAAATAACATTTCATAGAATGTGAAGATAGTTGTGACACAGTGAAGAAAATATGTAGTTAACTACAGCTGAGACATTAGCTATTTAAAATTGTGCATGAAGGAAGCCAGGAAACAGTGATTTTTTCTTTTTTCCTTTTCTTTCCCCCGTCCCCAACTACATAAGATGTTACACACAAGTTAATAAGAGTTGCTGGTACAAATTTCAGAATGAAAAAATTGATGGGAATCGAAGTAGCTTTTAAAAGGGAAAGGCAAGAAGGGTTTGGCTAAGTGTGGGGGAGAAATGGATGAAGAAAATCGTGTTTTCAAGTTCTTTCTTAGGAGAATAGTAACTTCTTAGCCAGTCCCTGCACTATACAATATTTAGGAACCTATTATTTTCCTGCAACCTTTATCTTTCTTTTGTTAAGGTAACCAAAAATGCAGAGAAAGCTGCAATAATAATAGAACTAGATTCTTAATGTAATTTGATCAAGTAGTCTCATTTCTAATAGTAAAAATTTATTACATTTATAAAGCATCACATTGTAGAGAGAACAATGGTTTCCTGGCACTATCTTATTTATACTTATATTGTTTTCATTAATGTATGAACAAAATATTATAAACCATACCCTTTAGTGACATTATAAATATCAAATAAAGTCTGGCTTATTTTACCTGTGCAAGATCAGGTAAGTATCTAGGTAACAAAAAACAGGTATTATCGATTTTCATCTGAAGACATGTCTTTAAAAATTATTGACTATAATGGAATACAGTTAATCAATTGGAGAATAAGTAGTATACTAAAAGCAATATAAAAGACATATTTTTCCTTGAAAAATCAAATAGAATCCAGAGCCAATTTTGCCAGGTATTATTTATTCAGGCTTCATTTCTTTTAGCCTGAGTACAAGAAAAATTGTTAAATACAAAAAAATTATTGTTTCTTGTATTTTAATCTGTCATTTGTTTTCTCTTAGAACATTAAGGTCCACATGTGATGAAGGAATAAATAATAATTTATATTGATCACATGAATTCTATAATCCATATCTTCTGACAGAATTGCTACATAGAATTTTATATTCTTATTACTATCTTAAAATTGTCTCAATTTAAATTCACATACCAGTGCTTTTGCCAAAAACATGAGGTATTTCCCCATGTTCTTCTTCTACTATGGGGTTCTATCAATCATATATAAATGAAAATAGAATGAATAGAAGAAGCTTGTAAATGTAATTAATGGATTAAGTTTTATGACAAATAATTGTGTAGATGAATAAATCTCAGTAACTAAAACATCATGGATTCAGAAAAATCGCTTTAGAACCTGTATGTTTTTATAGAGCTCTATTTAGTTAATTTGAAATATTACTGAAAATTATGAAGCAAGAAAACAAAAAGCCAAAGTTCTTAAGAGAAGTTTAAAGAATAATCTGGCCAATGCCCAAGGTAGCAATTCTTATGACAGATTTTAGGCTACACCAAGACATATTTTCCCATCCCCTGAATAAACCTACCTTTGCACAGGGTTGAAGTATATGGGCACAGTGTCAAGATGAACAAAGGCACATTTTAAAAGTTAGATATTTATGGTTATAGTTGTTGTAGTTTAGAAATCCTGTATCTGAAAATGGATTAGAAAAGGGGTATTTTTGGTGGAAGGCATAAATTTAAAAGAAAATTACTTAACCTTCATTTATATCGTGAAATAGAAAAAGATGACTTCCACGATTTGTGTTAAAATTATATTTTGTTAATTTGTAGTGAAGCATATATAGAACTCCATTTTCTTTTGATCAGCTGTTGGAGATAATGCAAATGTAATTAACTAGCCTATGGTGAACTTCATTTTTCAATTTCATTAAAGGTCAGAAGTTATCTAAATCCTTTTAAACAATTGAAAAGAAATTAAATAAAAAACTGACACTTACTGAGACAAAGTTTAAAAGAAAGACCCAAGACTTCACTTGAATCTGCTGAGAAACTTTGGTGGAAGTGATTTCTGAGAAGGTCAGAAGCAGGAAGTAAGCTCACCCACTATAAGTAGTAGGAAAGAAGAAATGGGGGTGAGGAAAGGTGTATGAGCCTCTTTTCTTTTCATAAAGTTATCCTAAAAGTGACCCAACAATGAAGGCAGTTGTTATCTGGCCTGTGCTAAGGAGTACACAGTGATTTCACTTCCTCCAGTGTCCCTGTATTAGTCTGTTTTCACGTGGCTGATAAAGACATGCCTGAGACTGGGCAATTTACAAAAGAAGTTTAATGGATTCACAGTTCCACGTGGCTGGGGAGGCCTCACAATCATGGCGGAAAGCAAAAAGGAGCAAGTCACACTTTACGTGGATGGTGGCATGCAAAAAGAGAGAGCTTGTGCAGGGAAACTCCTATTTTCAAACCATCAGATCTCATGAGACCCATTCACTATCATGAGAACAGCACAGGAAAGACCTGCCCCATGATTCAACCATCTCCCACTGGGTCCCTTCCACAGCATATGGGAATTATGGGAGCTACAAGATGAGATTTGGGTGGGGACACAGAACCAAACCATATCAGTCAAATTTTAAAAAGTAGGGGAAGAAAAGGGAGGGCTGTGTCCTTACTATGGACAGACAAATAGTTGTACCATCCTGATGATTTTACTGTTTAAGGTGGAGCAATGTGGCTGGAACAACTCAAATGTCAATCAAGAGGATAACCAAAATATGGTATATACATACAGAAAATCAATCAAAAAAGGGAATGAAATTCTGAGCCATTTTACAACATGATGAACCTTGAAAAAATTATGCTAAGTAAAATAAACCGAATGCAAAAGACATAATGTATGATTTTGCTTATATGAGGTTTCTAAATTAGGCAAATTTATGAGAGGCAAAAGTATACTAGAGTTTACCACGGGCTGGAGAGAAGGGGATATGAGAAGCTATTGTTTAATAGGTACCTAATTTCTGTTTGACATGATGAAAAATTCTAGAAATGAATAGCAGTAAAGGCTGTACAACACTTTGAATGTACTTAATGCCACTAAGTGGTACATTAAAAAATGGTAAAAATGGCAAAATTTATGTATATGTTTTTACCACAGTAAAAAAAATTCTAGAGGGAATAAAGAGAACAGTGTAGAGTAGTTGTAGAAAACTAATTTTTATCTAAAATTAAGAACACTTTAGAATTCTACTATCTCCAGTAAATCAAAATATTTAATTTGTTTCCTTTACAATGTGTGAATTAGGAATGGAAATTTAATAAGTGTCAGTCTCTAATATAATATCTTATCAGTATGTGTAAATGTTTCAAGTTTAAATAATTTCCTCACAAAAAATAGCTACCAAAGAACTGCCCTTTAGCAATTGCAAACTTGACCACATGAACCTTTGAAAGTTTATTTCCAAGCTTCTCCCACTGTTCAATATGAACTTCTGCCTACATTTCAGGATTTGAGACAGAGAGTACTTGAATTTATTGGGAGTCAATTGGTATTATTTCATTATGTAGGAGGCCAGGTAGGATGTATAGAGATTAAAAAATGGGTTATGAGACACTATGAAATCCTATCTTTTCTTGACCCTTGACATAGAAAGAGAATTTGCTTGGAAAGTAGAGTTTCAGTGGACAACTTAATAGCATTGGGTTAGAAATTAACAGGTCTATCAATATCTGGTATCTTATTAAGTTATTTATTTGTTTTTTAGCTTTATCCTAATGCCAAGTGAACCTCAGGATACTTGTTACATTTACCTACATTTTTATTTTGTTTTTGATTCACAGTACTTGGCATCTGTTGATATCTGAACATTACAATTCCTTTTATTTTTATTACTTTGGGTTTTGCTTTGAATCAAAAAGCATTATGTTCCTGGATTAATAGTTTAATACATTTCACCAATTTGAAAGATTTTAATGAAAAGTAACGGTAACCTTGAAGGCTTTTCAGAATTTTAATATTTAATCATGGAAAGACTTGTACTGAAAACAACTCCCTTAAGGAATTTACTATTCAACAACTCAGGTCTAGTGAATCATGCCATTGTAAACAGTTTTGTTTTGTTTCTTTGAATTGTATTCTCTTACCAATTCCTTCATTTCTCAACATTTTATCAGAAGAAAAATATATATCCTACTATCTTTTCTTCAGTAGAACAGCATATAGCAAATATTTTCACACAGAAAAAAAGCAGCTCATTTTGAAGGTAAGAAACTTATTTTATGAGAGTTGTCAGTTTAAATAAAAAAATTATCTTAGTCAACTAAATTGCTTTTAGGTTGAATAGACAATCTATAATCACGTGGTTATTTGAAACTAAACATCCTTAAGTAATTTTTCCAATCACTTTGAAGACTCTGGTAGAGTTTACTAAAGGATTTCTCTAGTAATATATATATTCAAAGGTTTTAAAAATAATGTTCATTAAAGTCACTTATAAAACTTTTAACTTTGCTTGTGAATTTCCATTTTATTTAAAGATAAAAAGAAGACATTCAGAAAACTTTCATTGCAATACAAGGATCAGATTAATAAAATGGGGATGCTGAAATTCAAATAATTTTCAAATAATTTCTGTTCTTTAACTTTCCTAGAGTTTTCCAGGTAGATTTTTTAAATGTTTTCCATGTGGTTGTTGGTTATTAGTTTTTTGTTTGTTTGTTTGTTTGTTTTTTAACTCTACAACTTTTCAAATATTCTTCTGGAAGAAGTTCTTTTGGTCTATAAGTTCAAGACAAACAAGCTGTCTGAGAGCCTCACCATTTTCAAATCAACCCTCTGGTGCTGTTGTTGCTGCTTCTTCACTCCCATTGTTCAGTGAGCAGGAGGGAATATTACAGTTCTTTGACCCTTGCCACAAGCAGCTCGGTGAGTGGGACCATTACACCATTACAGCTCCTTCACTCCTGCTTTTCAGTGAGTTCCAGGTTCTTGTCCCATGACTAAGAAGAATAAGCAACGTGGACACAGGAGAGTGAGTAACACAGGGATTTATTAAGGGACAGAAAAGCTCTCAGCAGCAAGAGGGGACCAGAAGGAGGGTTGCTGACTCTGGTACTAAGTTTGGTGTTTTTATGGACTAGGAATAAGGAGTGCACTGAGTGGTCTGCAGGCCATTTTGGAAAAAGCACCATTCAGAAAGAGACATGATAACATAAAGCTCCAATTAGAGGCAGAAGTGAAGGCTTGGCCCACAACCAATCAGGAGCTAGAATGATGTTTCAATTTATGTAAATGAAGATTTGGCCCCCTTCCAATCACAGAAAGATAGGTATATGCAAAACAGGTGAAAGGTAAGAGCCAATCAGGTGGAAGCACACAAAATGGGACAAAGGTGTGCCAAGGGGAGAGAAAAATGCTCAAAAAAGGAGTGGAATTTTTTCATTTGGGCTCACAGGGTGGGTGTTTACACTTAGGAACACAGGCTTTTGCTTATCTTGGGCCTGCAGCTTGATTCTCAGGCTGTTCTTGAAGGAGTTCTACTGAGGACCCGCTCTAACTGCCTGTCTGCCTGCCTGCCTGCCTGATTTCTTCCTTCCTCCTCTCTCACTATTACTATTGATTAATTCTGTGGGGAGTTTCTTCGAAGTTTGTACCTTTTCTGGTGAGGTGTATGAACTCTGCATCAAGATCTTAAAATCAGATTTTAAGCTTGATGCTATGTAGAAATAGCAGTCTCCAAAAGTCTCCAAATCCTGCAGTATAAATCTGGTCTCAAAATTTAGGCCTAACTATGAGGAATCACACAAATATGGTCTGCATATCATAGTTACAATTGTCAGTCTAAAATGAGTCAGCTTTGTCCTATGAAACTTGACTTACATTCAGAGGTTGTGATAGGTACATTACATCTTTTGGATTTTAGCTTCTTAAAGACAAAAAACCAGTATATTTTGAATCCCTTTACCCTTCTACCATCACCAACTACCCCAGCCTAGCTCAGATCTTTGTATTGAGTAGATGATTTAACACATGAAGAATGAATGAGTGGATTTATAATACTGCATAGTGCCTTCCATGTATGTCTCATTGGAGGCAGAATAATATAGAGTATATGACATATGCAAGAGCTGGAAGACACATTGTCATATATTTTATACAGGCACAAAACTATTTCTTTTGATCAGTGTAGTTACTGTTACCTATTTATATTGTATTTGAGTATTTTAGCTAGGATATATACTGTAATCTCTAGTTTTACAGAGTAATCATTGGTGCCCCCCCCGCCCCCCCCCTTTTTCTTACAAAAGAGGAAACAAAGTGTCCATGAGGTCTTGAGCTTTGAGACCTTAAATAATTAATGTATCCTATTTTGGCCTCAATTTTCTAATCTGTTGAATAAACAGATGAAGGCCAAATAATTGTTAAGGTTCATTCTGGGTCAGAGACTCTCCTTTTAATGCATTTTTTGTAACAATTTTATTGAGATATAATTCACCTGCCATAAAATTGGCTCAAAGTGCACAATTTAGTGATTTTTAATATAGTCACAGAATTTTGCAACCATCACTACTATCTAATTCCATAACATATCTATCACCCTATTATCAGTCATACCTCATTCTTCTCCCGCCTCATCATTTGGCAAACAACAGCCTAGTTTTGGTCTCTATGAATTTACTTTTTCTAGATATTTAATAAATTTTGAATGATGCAGTATGTGGTATTTTGTGACTGACTTCTTTCATTTAGCATAATGTTTTCAGCACTCAGCCATATTGTAATGTGCATCATTACTTCATCTATTTTACTACCAAATACATTTTTAGTTACGTATTCATCCACTTATGAATATTTTGGGTGTTTTCACATTTTGGCCACTATAAATAATTTTGCTATGAACAGTTGTATACAATAGTCATGGAAAATATATTTTAATTTCTTTTGAGTATATATCTAGAATTGGAATTGCTGGGTCACATGGGAACTTTAACATTTTGAAGAGCTATTTTTTTTTAAAGTGGCTGTACTGTTTATGTGCCCATTTGTAATAAATGAGGGTTCTTTTTTTCATCACATCCTCACTAACATTTGTTGTATCATCTATCTTAGTCTATTTCAGCCATTTTTCTGCATATGAAATAATATTTTGTTGTTTTGATTTATATTTGCTTAATGCTATGTTAATGAGCATCATTTGGTGTATTAATTGGCTGTTTTCATAACTTCTTTAGAGAAGTGTCTATCTGTCTATGTAAATCCTTCAGTCATTTTTTTTTCTTTTGAGATGGAGATTTGCTCTTGTTCCCAGGCTGGAGTGCAATGGCGCGATCTTGGCTCATCGCAACCTCCACCTCCTGGGTTCAAGCGATTCTCCTGCCTCAGCCTACTGAGTAGTTGGGATTACAGGCATGCACCACCACACCTGGCTAGTTTTGTATTTTTAGTAGAGGTGGGGTTTCTCCATGTTGGTCAGGCTTGTCTTGAACTCCTGACCTCAGGTGATCTGCATGCCTCGGCCTCCCAAAGTGCTGGGATTACAGGCGTGAGCCACCACACCTGGCCTAAATCCTTCAGTCATTTTTATTAGGATATTTGTCTTTTAGTTGCTGAATTGCAAAAAACTTCTTTATATATTGTGGATACAATATTAGACATAGTCTTCTACTAGACATAGGATTTGCAAATACTTTCTCCCATTCTATGGGAGACCTTTTCAATTCTTGATGGTGTCCTTTGCAATAAAAAAGCATTTAATTTTCATGAAGTAAATTTACTTTTTCTTTTGTTACTTGTGTTTTTTGGAGTCATATATGATAAACTATTGCCTAATTCAGCATTACAAAGATTTACTCATATTTTTTCCCCTGTGGGTTTTATCATTTTAGCTTTTAAACTTAGGTCTGATACTTTTTGAATTAAAATTTGAATATATCTTGAAGTAGGGGTTCAACTTTATCTTCTTTCAGTCTATAACAAGCTTTCCAGTACCATTTGTTGAGTAGACTATTATTTCACTATTGAGGTATATCGGCACCTTTATTGAAAATCAATTGACCACTACTTTCAGGGTTGGTTTCTGGACTTTTACTTCTATTTCCTTTATCTATTTGTCTATTCTTATACCAGTACCATGCTGTCCTGGTTACTATAGCTTTGTAGTAAGTTTTGAAATTAGGAAATGTAAGTCCTAAAACTTTATTTTTTTTTTCAAGGTTTGCTTTGGCTATCCTGAATCCTTTGCATTTCCATATGAGCTTTGGTATCATCTTGGCAATTTCTGCAAAAACGAAGAAGCTGGAATTTTGGTAGGGATTGCATTAAAGCTGTAGAACAATTTGGAAAGTATTGTAGTAATAATTAGTCTTCTGATGCATGAACATAGGATATCTTTCCAATTATTTAGATCTCCTTTATTTTCCTTCAAAATGCTTTACATTTTTTTCAGTGAACAACTTTTACACTTTTTTCATTATATTTATTTCTAAATGACACAGGTTCAGTGCCACTTTGCCAGCTGGAAATCTTTGTGGCCAGCAGCACCTCTGCCTGGGCTTCGCTCGGCTTTGGGTTCATGGCTGTGCTCACTCTGCCCACTTGGCCCAGCAGGCTGCAATCAGTTGACACTACTGGCCTGGATCCTACACCTACACAAGGACTCCTCACTCTCAGTTCATGGCTGAATCTGGTGTGCTCTGGGTGGTTTTCACTGTGTTCCCTGGCCTCTGGATGAGGGGGACATGGCAGAATCTGAAAACTTGAAGATGCCAGCAGCCACGAAGCCCCAAGGGATGTTACAAAGCTCATCTGGGGATTTCAAAGTTTGAGCCCACAGGAAGCATTACAGTTTGTTCATTCCTGCTGTCTGCACACTTTGGCAAATGAGGACCACAGCTTGTTTGGTCATGCTGCCCCACTCCGGCCTGTGGCTCCTGGCTGGTCTGGTCTGGTCTGGTCCCACTGCTGCAGCTTCCCATTATGTGAGGTGGAGGGCGGAATGGTTACAGTGTTGTAGCTCCTTTCTCACTTTCCGTTTGGTGGGTTCTGGGTTCTTGTCCCATGTCCAAGAGGAATGAGGTTACATGGACATCAGAGAGTGAGCAAGACAGGGAAGAATTTTTTTGAGCAAGAGAAAAGCTCTTGACAATGAGAGGGGACCTGAAATAGGTAGACCTCTTTGTGAGCGAGGGCACAAAAGTGGGTAGCCGAATGTGTGGCTGAGTCTGGGTTTCTTGTTTGTTTTGAGATGGGGTCTTGCTCTGTCGCCCAGACTGGAGTGCAATGGCACCGTCTTGGCTCACTGCAACCTCTGCCTCAGTTTCCCAAGTAGCACCACCACAACTGGCTAATTTTTGTATTTTTGGTAGAGACTGGATTTCACCATGTTGGCCAGGCTGGTCTCAAACTCCTGACCACAGGTGATTCACCTTCCTTGGCCTCCCAAAGTGCTGGGATTACAGGTGTGAGCCACTGTGACTGGCCAAGTCTGGGATTTTATGGGCTCAGAATGCGGGAATGCATGCTGATTGGTCCATGGGAAGGCCTGGAAAAAGCACCATTCAATTGGCTAGAAGGCATCAAGGAAGTTCTCACTCCCATTGTGGACTCCCCAGAACTGGCAACTCAGTTTTCAGGTTTTAAGTTGTCTTTGGTTTGAAGATCAGGTTTCACTGGGGACCCCTCCCTGTCTGCCTAGCAATTTATCTGCCTCCTGCCACTATCACAAGTATTTTATTCTTTTAATACTATTATAAATAAGAGCTTCATAATTTAATTTTTCAACTGTTTGTTGCCAGTGTATAAAAATAAAAGTAATTATGTATATTGACCTTGTGTCCTTCATTTTTACTGAATTCATTTCTTAGTTTTAGTTGTATTAAATGAATTCCTTAGGATATTCTATATATAAGATTACGCCACCTACAAATAAAGTTATTTTTAATTCTTCCTTTCCAATATGAATGTCCTTTATTTCTTTTCTTTCCTTTCTTTTTTTCCCCCCACGTGCCTTGGCTAAAACTTCTATTATAATGTTTAATAGATGTAGCAAGAGATGATATTCATGTCTTATTTCTTAGGAGAAAATCATTCAGTTCTTCATCATGAAGTATGATACTAGTTGTCGGTTTTTTATTGATCCCTTTATCAAACTGAGGAAATTCCATTATATTGCTAGTTTATTGTGTGTTTATATCTTACAAGGATGTTGAATTTGTTAAATGTTATTTCTGTCTTTTGAGATGACCACGTGTATTTTTTCTCCATTCTATTAATATAATGTGTTCCATTTATAGAATGTTGGATGTTAAACAAATGTTACACTCCTGGGATAAATCTCAATTAGTCACAGTTTACAAAACTTTTTTATGCTGCTGGATTCAATTTGTTAGTATTTATTAAGGATTTTTGCATCTATGTTAATAAAGCGTATTTGTCTGTAATTTTTTTATCTTATGATATCTTTGTTTTAGTATCAGGGTAATATTAGCTTCATGGAATGAGTTGTAAAGTGTTATTTTTCTTCTATTTATTGGAAGATCTGTGACTTATTAGTGTTAATTCTTATGTAAATATTTGGAAGAATTTACCAGTGGAGGCACCTACCTTTTGACTTTTGTGTGAAAAGTTTTAAAATTACAAATTCAATTGTTTTACTTGTGGGTTTATTAGGACTTTCTAATTCTTCTTGAGTCAGTTTTAGTAGTTTGTTTCTCTTTAGGAATTTGTCCAATGCATCTAGGTTTTCTGACTTGTTACATACAATTGTTCACAATATTTTCTTATAATCCCTTTTATTTCTTTGGCATCAATCCCCCTATCATTTCTGATCATAATAATTTGCATCTTGTCTCTTTTTTATTGGTTAGTCTAGCTGACCAAGTTTGTTAACTTTGTTAATCTTTTCAAAGAAGCAACACATGACTTTGTGGATTTTCTTTGTCATTTTCATATTTCTATTTTATTTATTTCAGCTCTAATCTTTATTATTTCTCTCCTTTTGTTTTCTTTGGGCTTAGTTTGTTCTTCTTTTGTAGAGCTTAATCTAACCTTTCTTAGGTAGAAGTTTAGATTATTGATTAAAGTCTTTTTTTTAATATTGGCATTTAGTGTTCAAAATTTTTCTTGAAGAACTGCTTATCTGTATCTCATAAGTTTGGTATTTTGACTTTTTGTTTTAATTCTGATCAAAGTTTTCTTTTCTTGATTACCTTGTGATTTATTCTCCAACCCATTGGTTATTCAGAAGTGTGTTGTTTAATTGCCACATATTTGTGAATTGTCCAAATGCCCAAATTTCCTTCTGATATTAATTTCTAATTTTATTCACCATGATCAGAGAAACAATCTGCATAATTTCAACCCCTTTAATTTAATTTAACTCAGGCTTATCTTATGGCCTAACATACAGTATATATGGCAGAATGTAGAATGTCTATACATGTACTCTTGAAAGGAATGTGTGCTCCATTGGTTTTGGATGGACTACGAAGTCCATTATGTCTAGTTGGTATATAGTGTTATTCAAATCTATTTTATTGTGGATGGTTAACCTAGTTGTTATGTCCATTATTGAAAGTGTGATATTGTGTTCTCCAAATATTATTGTTGTATTTTTCTCTTTCAATTCTGTCATTTTTTGTTTCATGTAGTTGAAGCTCTACTGTTAGGGTGATCCATATATATGTTTATAATTGCAATGTCTTTCCGATGGATTTCCTCTTTATTATTACAAAATGTCTCACTTTGTCTGTAGTAGCTGTTTTATTTTTTAACATTTATTTTGTTTGATAATGGTATGGCCATTCTACCTCTCTTTGGGTTACTGATTTCATGGCATATCTTTATTCCATCCTTTTATTTTCAAGTTATTTGTGTTTTTTTTTAATTAAATATGTGTCTTTTGTTGAAAATATATAGTTGAGCTACGGTTTTATTTTAACCATTCTTCCAGTGCCTGTCTTTCAATTAGATTGTTTTATTCAGTTATGGTTCATATAATTACTCATAAGTTCGGATTAAAGTTGCATTTTGCTTTCTGTATGCCTTGTGTCATTTTTCCCTTTTTTATTATAACACTTTTTGTATTAATTTGATATTTTCTTATGTATTATTATAATCTTCTTGTTTTTCTTTTACTGTATTCTTTTGAGTTACCCTTTTAGTGGTTTCCCTGGGGATTATAATTTACATCTTAATTTAAAGTGATCTAATCTAGATTAATACCTATTTAGTTTTTTTTTTTTTTTTTTTTTTTTTTTTTTTTTTTTTTTTTGAGACGGAGTCTCGCTGTCGCCCAGGCTGGAGTGCAGTGGCGCAATCTCGGCTCACTGCAGGCTCCGCCCCCTGGGGTTCACGCCATTCTCCTGCCTCAGCCTCCCGAGTAGCTGGGACTACAGGCGCCCGCCACCTCGCCCGGCTAATTTTTTGTATTTTTAGTAGAGACGGGGTTTCACCGTGTTAGCCAGGATGGTCTCGATCTCCTGACCTCGTGATCCACCCGCCTCGGCCTCCCAAAGTGCTGGGATTACAGGCACCTATTTAGTTTTAATAGTATAAAATACTTTGCTCAAATATAACTTCATTTGTTTCCCCTCACTGTGCTAGTATTGTCACATAAATTATACGTTTATATAAGTCCATCAACACAGTTTTATGATAATTGCCTTATGAAGTTGTCTTTTGTTTAGATAGAAAAGAGTTATAAAGTAAAAAAAACTGATAACAAATTTCATGTAGTATACTTACAATATGGGTATTATTATTGTTGCTATTTATTTTTACTACCTTTGCCAATATTATTTATTTGTTCATGTGTCTTTAAGTCTGTTTCTAGTGTCCTTTTATTTCTACCGGAAGAAATCTCTTTTAATATAGCACGTGGGGCTGTCTGTTAGTAAAGAATTCTATATTGTTGCTTATTTGAGAGTATATCCATTTACTTTTCATTTTCAGAGGATGGTGTTCCTGGATGTAGAATTTTGGTTTGCCATTCCATTTATTTCAACACCTTGAATGTTATCCCACTGATACCTCATTTCAATTGATTCTGGTGAGAAGTCAGTTGTTGTTAGTCTTATTGAAGCTCACTTGACAGCCGATTTTACACCATAACATTGTTAATTTTATTCAGTTTAAATCTGTAAAATTTTATTGCCAGTAAAAAGTTTAAACCAAAGTGTTTGAGAGTATTTTTAATACAAATTCTAATTAGGATATAAGATATATTTTTTATTGCACTCACTTTGAATCACTGGTTTTTAAAACAAATTCACATAAGTAATAGATCCATGCTGTTCTCTGTCTGTATTATACAACTTTTAAACATAAACTGAAATAATTTAATGAGAGGTAATACATTTCACATGAACTGGAAAACGAGTATTTATGAGACTTGAACATAATTTGTAGTGTAATACACAGCTTTCTTGGATAAATAAACCCTAGTAAAGCTTCATTCTCTACCTACCAAGCTTTACTTTTCTGCCCACTAAGGGGTACCATGGCTTTGATTGCCATGGTCTTTTGGGGCTTGCCATATTCATGAATCTTACTAGTACATTATTTCAAAAGGTTGTTGAATGAAGATTTTGTAATGACATTAAATAACATTATGTAATCTGTAGAATATTTTGAATATAGCCAAATTAAAAATAGTGGACAATGATGGTAACTTCTAACTTTATCTCTTGGAAAGTCTTACCTGTGGCTGAGGAAACTGCCTTTAATATGGTTCTCTCTGGAGCCTCCTGCATATGTCAGCCTCATTCAATGATCTTCAACTATACTCCACTGTCATCCATGTTAGTAGTTATTTTCGAGCAAAAAGTGTATTTTATTCCTCTTGGACACTTACTTATTCTTTCTTGGCTTAAATATCTTTTTTATAAAGTATGACTTATATGAGTATTTTGAGAATTAAATGAGATCATACATATAAAACATTTAATACATTGCTTGTTATAAATATAATAAATATTGTGTTTATTATAACATTTATTGAATGTTTATTATATGCCAGTTTATGCTAAGCCCTTTATACATAAACACATACTCCTATGCTACTTCCATTATTATTAGAGTGTTGCTATGGCACTATCTATACCTGGATACTTCAGGTACACTGGCTGCTTCACAGGACCATGCAATGCTGGTATTGGGAATTTCTTTTCTAATTTACTCCACAATGTAAATTGCAATGACCTCTTACCTAATAAGTTTTTCCTTTTTTCTATTTATCTGATCTTCTAAATTCTAGGATAGAGACAAAACAATTTTTACTACAGAGTCTTGATTTTCATAGGAAAAAGCAGATTCCAGAAATACTTGTTGGGAAATGACGACATTCTTAAACCTTTACATTACCTTCTGCTATAGTTTGGATGTGACCCTTAAAAGTTCATGTATTGGAAATATAATTACTATTGTAACAGTATTAAGAGGTGGGGCCTTTAACACATTATTAGATGATGAGGGCTCTGCCCTCATGAATGGATTAATGCTGATATTTTGAGATCCCAGAATGGGATCCTGATTAAAAAGATGAGTTTGTTTCTTTATCTGTCTCACATGCTTACTTGCCCTTCTTTCACAGTACAAGGCAGCAAGAAAGCCCTGACCAGATGCAGCTCCTAAATCTTGGACTTCCTGGCCTCTAGAACTGTGAGCCAAATAAACCTCTTTTCTCTATAAATTACCCAATCTGTGGTATTGTGTTACAGCAGTAGAAAACAGACAAAGACATCATCTCAATTAATGTACATAAATGCATAACCTGTCTTGCAAAAAGGGAAGTGGAATGCCCAAAAGGTAAATTAATTTGCTCAAAATTACACAACTAAGTGGTAAAAGAAGCATTTGTAGAAGGTTGTGTTTAGTTCTGAAGCTTCCAGTCTTCATAGAACTTGGAGGAATTGTGTAGGGCTCATTCCTGCTGTTCATGTCCCCACCTGGCACATATATTTAATGACTACAAGGTTTGGTTTTTCTTAATGCCATATCTCTAGTGCCTAGGACAGTGCCTGACACATGGTAGGCAGTCAAAATGTGGATTGATAAATTAGCACCAATGATAAATTTAATGTTTTCCTTTTACCTTTAAATTCAACTTTATGGAATAATAGCCATCACACACACAGAATGTTTATTCACAAGTTGTTGTCACAAGTCATTAAATCTCTACTTTTTGCCCCAGCTTCAATAGAACAATGTCTTAGTTTTCCCTGGTAATGTTAGTATAATCTTGAACATTTTATTTATTTTTTCTGGGCTTAAAATATCTCATATAAAGTATGATTTATATGAGTACTGTGAGAATTATATGAGATCATACATAGAAAACATGAAATACATTGCTTGTTGTAAATATAATAAATATATATGGTGTTTATTATAACATTTATTAAATGTTTATTATAACATGTATTAAATGTTTATTATATGCCAGATGATGCTAAGGGCAGCAAGAAGGCCCTTAAGTGATCCTGGTTAGTGATTCTTTAAATTTTGTCTCATTTTAAGAATGAGGACAATTAAACACCCTCACTAAGCAAGATCTTTTCTTCATACAATCAATATTGCAATAAAGTTGCAAATGGGTTGTTTTACACTGCCTAATAGAGAAACTCACTTCTAAATGATTGCCTTTTGTTATTTAGTCTCATGGCAGATACAAAGTAAACTGATATATGAATGAATACAAAATAATGTAAATCAAGAACCTTCATAATTACTTGTAAATAGCAGATTTGTCCTTTTTGTGGGAACACCAAGGACCTAACCATCACATTCAAAAAGGACACATGGGTGCTACATTGATTGGAATGGAAAAAGCTAGGAAATTACTGTGTACGAGAGATCTTGTAGGAAAGCAGTTACTATAGCAACTGCAGCCTCATAGACTGTATTAGATGATAGAACTTCTTTCAGCATAATTACACAGTCTTTTGATGTGCATCCTTCCCTGGGACATACCAAACCCATGTAACATGGCTATACAAAGAAAATTATCTTAATTGGAAAGGACACCCCTCTTTAATATATGCTGATTGAAGTTTTAGTATCAGTATTCTCTGTGAAATTGTCTTTGTAGTTACCCTTTCAGAGATGTTTGGTTAATACATTTCATGTAAAGTCTAAATATAGGCATCCTTGTGATATGAATACAAATAAAAGAAGAGAGAATATAAATGTGCAGCATGCTATTTATACAGGATCATATAATTATTACCCTTGGCTATCCAAATAAATTAAACTTTGCTACAACTGCTAATTGAATTGGTATTAAGCTCATTTTTTTCTTTCTATTTTGAGCTTTCCTTAGAGATATTTAAATTCATAGCTTTAATTGCAGAAGGGGTACAGAGATCTTCCCCTAATTAGGTTATTAATAGTAAAATTGACTATTTTAAGACAAATGCTAAAGTGTACCTTTATATCTGATCATTTTCATTTTTAAGAAGAAAGAGATTCTATTTTTACAGGGAGAATGAACTTTTAAAATCACAGCTTCTAGTCAGCAGGTGCACATTACTGTATTCATAAATGACTGTCTGTGGACCATAACCTTATAATTATTCTGCTGAAAGACATTTCTGTCACTTGCTAACAACAGAATGGGTCAAGAGCACATCTCACTTTGGTGTTTGTGCCTTCTGACATCTTGCAGTATGGTTTGCAGACAGAAGGAGCTTTCACAGAGCTGTGAAGTGTTCCTTGTGTAGTATAACCCAACTGAGAAAAAAAATCTCAGATCTGATTTAGGGACCTGATGTTTTAACCCCTGCCCTGCCATAGATAATAACATTAAATAAGCCACTTATTACATTCATAATTTAAAACTGATACTTAGATGTCTATTTTCTCTTCTCTAACTGGGTGGCATGTGCTATAAAATGAGATTTAGCCTCATAAAATAGATTTTCTATTAAATTTAAAGTTTACATTAACTTAAATATTATTAATTTATTCTCTTAGTGTGGATTATTATAAGAACCCCAAGAGGAATCCTATAACTCTCAACTCTTTAAAGTAGTAAAAAATTAAGTTCAGCATCATTTTCGCAGGCTCATCCCAGCAAAAAAAAAAAAAAAAAAAATATGGTGGGTGATTTTGCAAACAGTAAGGAAAATGACAGTAGCACTATCTTAAGAAAGTGTGATTAAATGTAAACGTTCCAAGTCCTGTAAACAACTGTGTTTCATCTCTGCCCCCTAACAGCTTACTGGAATGAAAAGTAAAACCAGCATAAAGCCAGAGACAAAAGGGAGCTGCCTTGAACTCCATTCAGTCCTGTATCCCGATCTCCTGCAATACTCTGTCCTTCCTCTACCCATGGAAAGAAGATGTGTAGAAGATAAAAGAGATGTGTAGAGTTTATACACATCTAGTTTTGCCTCTATTCTGTGAGCCTGTAGCATCAAATTTTAATTTGCTCAATACTGATCTACATGCCCCTCACTGAAGCTGCATCCATGTTTTCTTGCCCTTATGGGAATAGCCCAGAGGCCGGCAGGTGGCTCATGAAGGGTTGCAGATGTGCTTCGGTATTTTTTAAACGTGTGCTCTATTCACTGCCTGATTTCTTTTTTGATTATGAACCATCTGTAATTTTCAATCTGTTCTCAGGATTTTGCTTTACATGTTATTCGGCTATAGCAGGACTATTGTTCGTAATTCTCCATATGTGACAAACAAGGGGTGAGTTAAGACTTTTTGATATCTCACCCTAAATGCTTATAATGGCAAACCTGTTTATACAGCAAGAAAGAATATAATTTCTGGAGCCCAGTCGGCCTCCCGATCCCACAGCCTGGAAAACCACCACCCACTTGAAATGATCTTCTCAACATTTTAAATTTATTTTCCTAACTCTTCTTTGGAAACCAAAGGGATACAATGCAAGTAAGTATGTCCATACTGACAAGGGGAACAGAAATTCCAAAATTGTTTTGTTTAATTCTAGAGACAGGGGTGGAAATAGAAAAGCAGAAGTTACCCTTCATCTTTTATTTCCTCCCACAGTTGCCTCTCTTCTTCCTCATTGATATCCTGACATCTTTCCAACCCCCAAACCAGGAATGTGGGTGTGGGTTCCTCCTGGACCTTGTCCTCTCATCTCTCCAACACTATGTAAAGCAACATGACCTGTGCAGAACAACTCTTTCATTACCCTCAAATCCATCACCAACTCTCCATTATTTTAAAGTGCAAATCAAATCAGGTTACATTTTTGCTCAAACTTCCTAATCATTCTATCAATCTTTGTCATTCTCAAGAGGATATTTAAATTCCTTAGCTCAAATAAACCATGTGCTTTATCTATTGTCAACCAATGAAGATGTAGCCATACACACACACACACACACACACACACACACACACACAATATGGCATAGAAATACATAAACAAATATAAGTATATAAATACAGATATATGGATAGATAGATTTAATTTTTTTTTCTCTATGATTCTGCACATGCAGACCATTTAAAATCCTTCTTTCCATACTCACTGATCCTTACAGAGCCAGCTCAGGTATAACAAATGTCTGTTCCTCTTAGTCTTCCTTGACAAGGAGACAAGGGATTAGGTTCCTCAGCTCTTGGTTTCTTCTTTTTAATTCTCAGAGCACCCTGTGCCTATTTGCCTAACACTTCTTACTCTGTAGTGTAATCAAAGGTTTTTGCTTTCTGTCTCTCTTTGTATATGTGACTTCACTGAAAGCAAGGCCTATGCCTAGTTGCTTTCTCTGTCTCAGGATATAGCTTTGTTTGGCTCATACTAATAATCCCATTAATGTAACCAGAATGAATGAATTATTAACTAAACAGGGCACTAGTGTTTTGGTTATCAACTTCTTCATTCTAATACATTAATGTCATTTGAATAATAATAAACCATTCTGGTATTTTTACAACCATTTGGAGCTACTCTCTCTCCTCCTTTAATTTCTGTTTTAAAGATCTGTTGAAGCAAATCTTGTTTGGCACTGAGCTATTCATCTTCCTGTATTTTTTTCTTCTTGCCTGTAAATTCTAGGCCGAGTTAGAATGACTAGTTGCAATGGGCATCCCACTTAACACACACAGAAGGAGACATCATCCATCATCAAATAGAAAAAAAAAAAAAACATGTAGACCTGTTTTACTTACTCTCTTGCAATGGACTCAAGGCCAAAGAGAGGGATTCCTCACTGCTATACAAGTCTTACTGCAGCAAAAGTCTCTATACTTTCCAAGTAATAGCTCCTGAAGCCCATACTTATATTCAAGTAGAAGATACTTCTACATATCAGATACTTGTTAACTTTTCTATTATTTAGAAGTCTGATAAGCTTATCATAGCAAACATGTGCACCTTTGACTCTGTCTTCTCCCATCATTTTTTCTCTTTGCCCACCTTACTCCAGACACTAGAGTCGTTTTACTCGTTCCTCAAATATAAGAAATTCGTTCCACTTTAGAGCCTTAACAATCATTTTCTCAATTCATGGATTTCTTTTTTCTATGAATTTTTATGGCTGGTTTCTTTCTGTCTTCCAGGTTTTTACTTAAATCAATGCACATAGAAAGCCCTTCTCTGATAATTCAAACTTAATGTGCCATCTGATCACTCTATATCATCCTTTCAAAAAATGTTCATAACATTTACTATCATTCAATGCTTTCTAATTTACTTTTTTATTGATTGCTTCCTTCCCAGCGATAAAATTCAGGCTCCAGGAGGGTAGGAAACCATTGTTTACATTTGAATGAGGACCTGGTTATAATGTGTGTTTAATAAGTATTGTCAAATTAGGAAATATGCTATCTTCGGAAATCATTTTATTCTTGTTGTTATGGAATCCGTGTCATTTACTTGTCTAGGACAAAATGGAACAGAGGGTCCTGAAAGAAAGATGAGAATTCAAACAAGTACCAAATTTCTAGGACAAATCCGCACTCTGTAATGTTGACAGAACAGATAAGAGAAGTGGACAAAGATGGGTGAACTAGGGGGGTATGAGTAGGGATTGGATGTAAGCTTTCTGTTTGCTGATCTTGGGCTGACATGGTTTGGTTGTTTGTCACCAACAAATCTCATGTTGAAATGTGACCCCCAGTGTTAGAGGTGGCGCATGGTGGGAAGTGCTTGGATTATGGGAGTGGATCCCTCATGAATGGCTTGCTGTCACCCTGGTGGTAATAAGTTCTTGCTCTGTTAGTTTACATGATAACTGATTGTTAAAAAGAGCCTGGCACCTTCTCCTCTCTCTTGTTCCTTTGCTCTCCAGGTGACACACTGGCTTCCCTTGCCTTCTGCCATGAGTAAAAGCTTCCTGAGTTCTCACCAGAAGCCAAGAAGATGCCAGTGCCATGATTCTTGTAAAGCCTGCAGAACTCTGGGCCAAATAAACCTCTTTTCTTTATAAATTACCCAGCCTCAGGTATTCCTTTATTGCAATGCAAAATAAACTAATACATAGACATAGTTACCCACTGTGCAATTTGCGACCTTGGGGTTAAATACTTTTTAAATATGGTAGCAATAGTAAGTACAGTTCCATGATTATTAGACCACTTGATATATGGAGTAACCCTAGTTTGGGAAATAATTTCCTTCAAACTGGGAGATTTAGCCATATTTGTCACTGCTGCTGCTTTGATCTTTATTGTTACTTAACTTTTCATTGATGGTAAGGCTCCCAAGAGGCTGTGAGTTTACTGAAGACAGGTTAAGACTGTGCCTGACTCATACAGAATTCTTACTAAATTTTCACATAGTAAGGGCTCAGTCAGCCTCTTTTTCAACTGCATTAATTTAAAAGTATCTTCCTTTTACTGTCACCAATGTAGTAATCCTGCCAATATGTTTAACTTGAATGTCTTACTGAATAAACAATCAGAAGTGTCCAAATTGTGAGGAATTCTGCAAAACTGCTACCCTATACTCTTCAAAAAATATCAATATTATGAAAAGCAAAAAGAAAATGAACACTGCTGTACATTAAAGAGATATCAAATCTAAATTTAATCAATGGATAATCCTAGATTGATTGGGTGGTTGATTGAAAGAAAAAGCCATAAAGGTTATTATTTGCACAATTAGGGAAATTTGAATAGAGAAAGTAGTATATTAGGAAACAGTGTCATATTTATGTTAAATTTCCTGAGTATGATAGTTGTATTACCTTTTATTAAGAAAAATGTCCTCATTCTTAGGACATACATGCAAAATATATAGGGGTAAAATTGCACGTATGATTATGTCTTTCAATGACTTAACAGCTTAATTTATGGCTACCTAAAGAGAGAGAGAGAGATTGAGAGACAGATAATGTACCAATTGCTAAAATGTGATGAATTTTAGTGAATATCATGGATGTTTGTTGTACCATTCTTGCAAAATTTCTACAATTGAGTATTATTTAAAATAAAAATAGAAGTTTGATTAGAAAAGTAAATAAATGTAAAAAAATTAAATGAAATTGTGTCTTGAAGATTTTATTTCTATGTGTACCTTGTTTCTTTTTGGAAGAGACAAAAGTCTTCAAGAAAAAAGAAATTCGCTGTATTTTGTAAGCTGACGTTTCAATAGTTTGAAAGTCACCTCCTCCAAATAGTAAATTTAAACCAGTATTTGATATCTTGATTATTTAAAAATATTTTGAAATATGAAGGAATGTCTCCAATTTAGCAATAGAACAAGAAAAGTTCTGTTTCTTAAGAATCCATGGGATACACTTACGGGATTAAAATTTTATTATGAATATAACACATAAGGAATCGATTATATTTAAAATAACTATATTATGCAGCTTTTCCTTTAGCAAAGGAGATTTGCCTACTGATTAAAGGCCATTGAGATTACTAGATTTAGATTCATATTAAATGTTTCCATTTAACATGTATAAACATTAACCAGATTTCCTGAAGATTCACTTAACATAATTTAAAATTTAAATATCCATTCAATTAAAGTATTGTTATCTCAGTGTTTTAGGTTTCTAGAAAGATACATTTTAAATAGGGATGCCGTTTGTATACATCTGTTTCTTAATATAAATTCCTTAATAATGGCATACAGACTGATGAGTTGTTTCAGTTTTGAGAAGGCCAACTCTTGGAAAGCACGTATTAAAGGACATAGGCCAGGCATGGTGGTGTGTGCCTGTTGTCTCAACTAACTGGGAGGCTGAGGCTGAAGTGGGAGGATCTCTTTAACCCAGGAGTTCGTGGCTTCAGTGAGCTGTAATGTGCCATTGTACTCCAGCCCAGGTTAAGGCAAGCCCTGTCTCTAAAAACAAAACAAAACAACTCAAAACAAAAACCAAAACCTGAAGAACATCTGGGCACGGTGGTTCTTGCCTATAATCCCAGCACTTTGGGAGGCCGAGGTGGGTGGATCACTTGAGGTCAGGAGTTTGAGACCAACCCAGCCAACATGGTGAAACCCACTGTCCACTAAAAAATACAAAAATTAGCTGGGCGTGGTGGTGCTTACATGTAATTCCAGCTACTTGGGAGGCTGAGGCAGGAGAATAGCTTGAACTTAGGAGGTGGAGGTTGCAGTGAGCTGAGATCGTGCCACTGCACTCCAGCCTGGGAGACAGAGTGAGACTTTGTCTCAAAACAAACAAACAAACAAACAAAGACAACAATAAAAAAAGTCCTGAAGAACATAGTCTTATGGCCACAGCCCACAGTATGAGCTCTTTTATGTCTAGGACTAACAATTGTTTATGTCTGGTGATTCATCTTGAAGTTAGTATTATTTTAATTATTGGCTTTAAATTTAGCAGAAATGTAATGCAATTAATGAATGAAATTAAACAGGAAATATAAACATTGATATAGATATTTACTTGTAAAATATGAATATATTTTCAAAATAATTGATTATACAGCATTGAGAATATATCCAACAGAAAATAGCACTTTCATGAGGATGCTCTGGTCGAAGCATTCAGTTTGTCTATTGTCTGATTTGTCTATTCACCCAGTCTTTATTGAATGCCTCCTACATTCCAGGAAAATTAAAAGTTCTAGGATAAAGCAGAGTATAGAAAGGATACAATCCCAGCATTATAGGTGATTAAACAAATACATATATTAAATTAAAAATATGTTAACTGGTGATAACTGTTAATGAAGGGAAGGGAAGGGAACAAAAAAGATGCATAGGAAGTGCCTGTGTGGGTGTGGAGGATGAGGAGGGTGGTCACTTTTAAATAAGGTTATTAAGTAAGGCCTCATGAAGAAAATCACATTTCAACCAAAACCTGAAGGTGATAAGAATGTGAGCCTTCAGGATATTGGGACGACCATTCTAGCCAGCAGAACAGCAGATACAAAGGTCCTGTGGTAGAAGCCTGCTTGCTATATTAGAGGGAAGCTGAGGAGGCTAGTGTATTAGTCCATTTTCATACTGCTATGAAGAAATACCCAAGAATGGGTAATTTATAAAGAAAAAGAGGTTTAATGGACTCATGGTTCCACATGGCTGGGGAGGCCTCACAATCATGGCAGAAGGCAAGGGAGGAGCAAAGTCATGACTTACATGGCGGCAGGCAAGAGAGCATGAGCAGGGGAACTGCTCCTTATAAAACTATCAGGTCTCATGAGACTTATTTACTATGATGAGAACAACATGGGAAAAACCCACCTCCGTGATCCAATTACTTCCCACTGCATCCCTCCCACAACACATGGGGATTATGGGAGCTACAACTGAAGATGAGATTTGGGTGGGGACACAGTTAGATCATATCAGCTAGTGAGCACAGAGCCCAGTGAACCATACAGAGAAAAAGGATATGGTGTCAGGGAGGTAGTTGGATGGCATAGGGCAAGGAGGTTGGACAACTCAGACCTTAGAGATGCTGTGAGGAATCTGGCTTTTAAGGCTTATCTAAGTTCTCAACTTATGTACAAAATTGATTACCATGTCTTCTCATTATCTTAATGTCCTCATCTTAGAAAGGAAGTGACATTAATATAGGAAACTATGGATATCGAATAATGAGTGAAGAACAAAATTATTCATAATTAATTTAAATAGGTTCAATTTTTATATTGATGAATATTTTTATGGATACTTAATCTGAAAGCAATATCTATGTTTCAGTGTAAATTAAATTACAATATTATTTTTTAAAGGTATCCATTTATCCCTCTGAAATTATTTCTAATAATTAACATGGATTTTTGTGCCAAGAAGCCTGGGTGAGATCTTGTAGCTATGGTGTGCTTAGGAATTTCAATGTACAAAGAATCATATATGTGAAAATAGCCACATATGTGTGGCTAATGCTTTCAGGATTTTTAAAGTGAAATTTAAAGTGGAACGACTGAAATTAAAGATGAAAACTGTCTATAAAACTTACTACATTTAAATAGGTAATATGCATAATACTTAAAGTATGCTTTGATGTGGTCACCATGAATCACTGCAAATATAAGATGTAAATAAATAATAATATATCTAATATTAATTAACTAATTAAATATATTAATTAATATAACTAATAATACATTTATAATAAAAGGCAATCCATTCAGAAAGTTCAAGAATACAAATATATAAACAAATACAGTTCATATGGTTTGGATGTTTGTCCCCTTCAAATCTCTTGCTGAAACATAACCCCAGTGTTGGAGGTATGGCCTGCTAGGAGGTGATTAGCTTATGGGGGTGGAACCCTCATGAATGGTTTAGCACTATCCCCTTGTTTAAAAGTGTGTGGCACCTCCCCTCTCTCTGTGACTATCTCTCTTGGCATGAGACACATTTGCTCTCACTTTGCCTTTCACTACGATTAGAAGCTTCCTGAGGTCCTCCTAGAAACAGATGCTTGCACCATGTTTCTTGTACAGCCTGCAGAACCGTGAGCCAAGCAAACTTCTCTATAAATAACCTATTTATTTATAGTAATGTAGCTATTTATTTATAGTAATGTAAGAATGGTCTAACAACAGTGAAAAATCTCTCACCTTTCCTATTACCCCTGTATTAGTCTGTTCTCACGCTGCTGATAAAGACATACACAAGACTGGGTAATTTATAAAGAAACAGAGGTTTAATGGACTCAGGGTTCCATGTGGCTGGGGAGGCCTCACAATCATGGCAGAAGACGAGGGAAGAACAAAGGCATGTCTTACATGGCATCAGGCAAAGAGAGAGCTTGTGCAGGGGAACTCCTCCTTATAAAACCATCAGATCTCATGAGACTTATTCACTGTCCCTAGAACAGACAGGAAAGACCCACCCCCATGACTCAACTACCTCCCACTGGGTCCCTCCCATGACATGTGGGAATTGCGGGAGCTACAGTCAAGGTGAGATTTTGGTGAGGACACAGCCAAACCTAGCACCCACATATCCAACTTTCAAACTGGTTGCCACTTTAACTACATGGAAAACACTCTTTTAGTGTCTAGCGATCCTTTCCAGAGTTTATGCAGTTGTGTCATCTCTCTTCTTCACATTGTTCATCATTTGTCTTTTTTACTTAAAATTTATCTTTGCAAAAATTCCATGTCAGTACATGAATTACTTTTTTTAAAAGACTGCATAGCAATTTGTGATTTAGTCTCCTATTAATGAGCATTTATATTATTTCCAGTGTTTTGCTAGTTACTACACTTTTAGTTCAATGTATAATATTCTACAATTGTCATTTCACAAATATACAAGTATATTGTAGTTTAAACTCCAGAAATGGAAGTTCTGTGCATGTATATGAATATTTATATGTATACATATGTATTTGTATATTGATAAACTTTATCAAATTAACCTCAATAGAAGTTCAGCTAATTTATTCCAGAAATGTATGAGAATACTGGCTTTTTTATGGCTAACCAACAGTGATCAATTTTTGTATTTTGTCAATAGAAGAAAAATGCAATTTCAGTGTATTCTTTACTCTCCTCTTATCATGGATAAAGTTGAACATCTTGTCATATGATTAAAAGCCATTGTATTTTTTTTCATGTGAATGCCAGTTTATAATGTTTTCCTAACTTTTTTTACTTTTTCTTATTACTAATTTTTAGGCATTCTTTAAATTTTAGAATAACCTTTTGTGAAATTGCAAATTTTTATTTTCAGTCGTGTAGTTTGTCAACTGTCTTTGTTTATAGTTATTTTAAAGTTTGTTTTTAGTTATTTTAAAGTTTTACTTGTGTTTTTCGAAACAGTTGAAGATGCTTTGTTTTGTGGGTTTTTGTTTTTTTTTTTTGACGGAGTCTCACTCTGTCGCCAGGCTGGAGTGCAGTGGCGTGATCTCAGCTCACTGCCTCCCAGGTTCAAGCGATTCTCCTACCTCAGCCTCCTGAGTAGCTGGGACTACAGGCACGCACCATTATGCCCAGCTAATTTTTGTATTTTTAGTAGAGAAGGGGTTTCACCATGTTGGCCAGAATGGTCTCGATCTCTTGACCTCGTGATCCACCCACCTCGGCCTCCCAAAGTGCTGGCATTACAGGCATGAGCCACTGCACCCGGCCTGTTTGGTGTTTTGGTTTTCATTTAGATGATATCATCTAGATTATAAGTCATATTTAGTAACTACTACTGTACACAAGGTTATAAGTCAGTTATTATTTACATTTAAATCTTTAATTCATGTGGAGTTTATTCTGATGCACTGTGGGAGGTATGGTTCCAGTTTCATTGTTTTCCAAATGCCAGTCCAGTTGTCCCAAATAGTCATTTATTGAAAAGCCAACATCTCTTAATAATTTGAGATTAACTGATTGCCATATTCCAAATTCTACCTTGTTTTTGGGTCTATTTCCATCCTTTGTAATTTTTTTCAATTGGTCTGTCTTTCCAGAAATGCATCAGAAGTACCGTACACTGATGCTTGGTTTTGATCATTTAAAATATACATTGTTGTCTGCTACAGATAATATTCCTCTTCTTTTTCACATTTTAAAAACTATTCTTGCTTACTTTCTTTTCACATGAACTGTAGAATTAATTTGCTCAGTGTTAAGAAATTTTTATCGGTATTTTAATTGGAATCAAATTAAAATTTTGCATACATTGAGAGACTTGATATCAATGTGAGGTTGAATGCTCGTGATTGCTGAACAGTCCTTCTATTCTTTTTGGGATTTGTTTGTTTTGGTTCTGATTAAATTTTATATCTAAGTTTTTCCCCACATAGTTTTTGCAGATTCAAGTTAATTTTCATGTATGTTCTTTTGCGCATCTTCTCATCTAAAGAAGTAATTTCTTTCTTTCTTTTCTTTTCTTTTTTTTTTTTTTTTTTTGAGACGGAGTCTTGCTCTGTGGCCAGCCTGGAGTTCAGTGGAAGGATCTTGGCTCACTGCAACCTGCACCTCCCAGATTCAAGCAATTCCCCTGCCTCAGCCTCCCAAGTAGCTGGGACTACAGGCGCGCAACACCACGCCCAGCAATTTTTTTTTTTTTTTTTTTTTTTTTTTTTTGTATTTTAGTAGAGACAGGGTTTCACCATGTTGGCCAGGATGGTCTCGATCTAGTGACCTTGTGATCCGTGCACCTCGGCCTCCCAAAGTGCTGGCATTACAGGCGTGAGCCACCGCGCCTCGCGTAAAGACATAATTTCTAAAGGCAGATATTTATATGAACATCAATAATGTTCATGTACTGCTACTTTACTGGATTTTCTTATTGTTTTAATAGCTTTTCCACAATTACTTGAAGATTTCTGGGGATTCAGCCATATTCTGCTAACGGTGATAATTTTGCCTATTTTTTCCAATATTTATACCTCAAATTATTTTTATCCTCTAATATCCAAGTATATCTGAGTATACATTTCCAAAATTGGAATAGCTTAGACAAAGCATTTATGCATATGTTTTTAATAATTGCTCACAATGCCAATATAATATTTCATAATTAAGGTATAAGGGGCATCCTTATAGAATTGAAAATAATTTAAAGTGCTATATAGTTATATATATGTCTATATTATATATCTCGTTAAGGAAGTAACCATTCTGTTTTATCATATTGGGTATTTTTTTAACAATTATCAATATTTTTAGTTATTTCAGATGACTTGAACATGTATTGAAATTATCAGTTGAATTTCTTATCTACTGAAAATGAATTCTAAGTTTTAAATGTTAAATAATTTTGCACCATTTTTAAATAAACAACCTTGATTATAACATGTTAAAAGACGTGTGAGGATTATTTTTGTAAATTTGCTTTAGGAATCTTGCATGGATATTTTAGGACAATTTGACCTATATTTTATGTGTATGTATTAATATTTGTGTGTATATGCATTTATGTGGTCTTTGCAGGTATTGGTGCCGAAATTATACTAACCAGGTAAAAAGAATGTGAATGTCATCATTTGAGTTTGCATGTGTGATCTGCACTAATATAAGTGCTTTTAGGATTATCTGACTTTAAGAGCTTTTGCAGAATTGCCCTGTACTACGATAATCTAGACAAGGTGTTTTTAGGCAATGGAAGCAAATTGTTTAATTTTGTTTACCTTTTATGGGGAAATCAGTCTCCTATTTAGATTTGTCTCTTTTCAAGTAAACTTTGAACATTCTTAGATAATTGGATAGTTTATACAGGTCTTCGTGTGTGTGTGTGTGTGTGTCTGTGTTGGTATATAGACACAAATATATATAGTATATATATTTGATTACTAAATATATACTAGATTAGATTAGTAGTTTGCCAATGGCATTTTTTATTTTTTATTACTGTTTATTAATTCTGTTTTTCTTTTCTAATACATGTATTCTAATATTCTTATAATATTTATAGTTTATTTATAGTTATAATTTTATAAATACTTTCCCTTTTGCTTTCTTTTAGTTTATTTTGTTGGCCTTTTACTAGCTTTTTGAGTTGCTTATTAAAAGAAATTGTGCTCATGTTTTAAATTTCTATAAATATGTAAAGTCATGAACTTTTCAATTAAAGTACTATTTTAGTTATATCTCAAAGGGTTTGATATTTTCATTATTGTTATATTCTAATATTTTGCTTTACATTTTCTCTTTCACCCAAGATTGGTTTAAGAAAGAGTTTTTAAACTTGTTGGTGGATGAGGCATTTCTTTTTATAATTTTGTCAATGGTTTTTGTTCCATTGCATTTTGATTTGGAGTATTTTCTGTGCTATTTTCAATTTCTTTTTGGATTTATTTAGGATGTTTCTGTGGCCAATTATGGAGTCAATTTTCATGAGATTCTTGTGACATTGCAGATTTAGGTTTTGTTTTGTCATCAGACTAAAACTATTTCTTAATATGAAAATTAAGTTATCTATATTTATTACTACAAATCATATTTAGTCTGACTTTTAAATTATTTTCTTTTCTCCTTATGGTTATTAATTTTGCTTTGTAGTCTATTTCGTTGCTCTGTGTTTTTTGTGTGTATGTGTTTTCTTTTATCTTGAAATGTTTTGATTCTTTTTTGAAAGGTTTTGATTCTTTTTATTATTGTTCTTAATAATTATACCTTTCCTCATATTATCAAGTTTTTAAAGATAATCTCTACCAGTTCCCAACTATGAACAATATTAAAATAGCATATTTCCTTTTCATCCTTTCTCTTCCTCTCTCTATTACCACCCAATTGTGGTAAATAATACCACCTCTCAGTGTTTTTGTTCTATTCCACTGCTGTGTTCGTTTTGGGGCTTAAATTACATTAATGTTGGGTTTCTTTTGCCTGTCTTTTACATATTTGATTCTCTTTCTAAAGATTCTCTTTTCCATTTCTTCTTGTTATTCTTATTTCTAGACTCAATGCCCTTTAGTGTGATTTTTTTTTTTACAAAATGTATTCTGCTTTGTGTTCTTGTAGTATCAACTTTCTTCTTGTTAGAATTTTTTCAATATTTTTTTCTTGAGACCACCTGCTCACATTTCATCTCCTCCTGTTATCTTGACATAAATTTCTGAAGTTCCTGTGTTTCTGATCAGTGATTTTCTTTAATAAAGGTGATTAATTCATTAAGATGTTTTAATACATAGCAAAATATTTGGCTGTAGTATTTTAACTCTTCCGTGGCAATATTTTTTCAGTAAGTGTTCATCAATTGCTAATTTTTCTGCTTCTTCCAGTTTTTCCCCCTTTGGTATATTTTTTGAATGGTACATGAGATGATACTTTTAAATTCATCAATAGATGCATTTCTATTGATGCACCAGGACCAGCCACCAGGAAGGGAATCCCATGGCAAGTGTGGGGCCGGTGTAGCCATCCAAGCTTCACAGTCTAAAGGTGGACTTTCAACTGCTGTCAGCTTCCTAGGGAAGTGGCTCTTGGTATCTCTCCATACAGCCTAATTTGCCTTTTTGAATAAAAGCTGTGTCTCGAAGACTTCATCCAGTCCTTCTGACCCAGTTGTTCCTCCCCTCATTGTTGCAAAGAATAGCTATGACTCAGTCCTGTAGGACAAACCATTCGCTTGCAAGAAATGAATATTTTCCTTGCACGTACTGAGATCTGCTAACTTGAGCTACTGTCCACATTATTTTTTCTTTGTTTTTTCCAGTCCCTTCTGTTCCATCTTACCTGTTTTTACAAACTTTCCCATATATGTTTAAGTTTGAAAATTGTTACTTCTCTTAGTTTTGCTGAGTTTGTGGCTTCAAAATACATATTTCTCTCTATTTTTAAACAAATTCTAGGAGAAGAAGTAAAAAGAGACATGTTGTATATGAAGCCTTCTTATATTGACTTTAAACACAGTTCTTCTGGTTAGAATTCCTGTAAGATTTGTATTTTAATTTTATTAAAATCATCCTCACATTTTCTTAAAATTAAAAAATATAATTTTTTGTTTACCATGGGATTCTGTTTTGAGAAGAAGAAAATTACTTGTTTTGAATAAAACTTCATATGTGCTCCTGGCTCTTACCATTTCTAAATATGTGCTGACAGAAATGTGTCATATCAAGGTAAACATTTATGAGAATATAAAATTACTTGCCCTGGGCCACAAAATAATGATCTGAATTTAGTAGCTGTCAACATTACCAATACAAGATTAGAATAAGCTCTCTGACAACCTGATGCATGCCTTCTTGGGAATATGGGTATTAATTAGCTTCAAATTCCATCTCAACTTCATCTGAAGGACCAATGTCTATTCTCTAATTTTCATGCTTGGAAAAGGCAAATTTCAAATTATTACATATAATATTGAAGAGAATATATACTTTCTTAACTGGAAGAATGATTTTTCATAGACTTTATTGTAACAAAGTTCCCTAATTCTTAATCATTAGCAGATTATAGGTCCCTATTATTATATTTTGACACATTTAGGTTTCTGAATTAATAATCCTGATTTCTTCCACACCAGCAAACTTCAAAGAATGCCCTCTACTTAGGCCTCAAAAACAAACAAAAAACTAGGGAAGGAGAATTAATAGTTATCAACTGTGCTGGTACCTGAGCAGGTGCTTCACATGTATTAGTTCATTGAATTAACCCAAAGACTCTGCCACATCTGCGTGATTCCTGTCATTCTGTACATGAGGAAACGTGGGCAGTAAGAAATCGGGTAAAGATTCCAGAATATTAATACCAGAAAATAAAGAGCAGTGTCTCACTCAGGCTTTTCTGCTCCAAAATCTGTTCACTTACTAACACACCAGATGGATCTCAAACAGGTTTCAGTGTTTTATGTAGGAGGAGATGAGACTTATTTTTAAATTATTTCAATTTCTCTAGGGTGAATCAATATTTATTCCAAACATTAATTACACCCTTGCCTCTTTTATTTACAATAAACTTTTCTTCTTTTTAGAGAATTAAGTGAGAGAATGAAATCCCAACACACACACACATATATATATACACACACATATATATTTGTGTGTGTGCTTGCACGTGTGTGTGTGTGTGTGTGTGTGTGTGTGTATATATATATATATATATATATGCATGCCTCAGAGTACTGAAAAATTAGGCATTGTTCCCTGTTGGCTTTAAGGTTTGTTTTTTTTTTCAATTGGTCTAAAAATAATCATAGAAAAGAGCAGTGTGCTATATTACCTACATTTTCTCTATTTGTCTTTCTTTTTTGCAAAGTGATTATCAAGTTTGCCATGAGAAAATTCCAGATCCTCCTGTATTATGGACTTGAGGAAAATGTGAAAACAGTAAGTTGATTATACTTATTAATGAGATAGCATTTCTCAAGTAACTTGTTATTTTTGGAAATCCACCAGTAAGAATGTCTAGAGACTGGGATATTAGTATTCACTAATACTAACTGTGCCACAGCTGTGGCTGGATGAGTAATCAAACAATCTGTATTTGAAATGTTCCCAACACAAAGAAATGATAAATGTTTGAGGTCATAAATATCCAAATTACCCTGATTTGATCACTACACATTGTATGCTTGTATCAAAATATCACATGTACCCCATAAATATGTACAACTATTATATACTCATAAAAATTAAAAATAAAAAAGCATTCTGCCCAGATCTCTCAACATTATGTTATTTCTTTAAAAATTTACTAACAGAATGAGAAGTGAAGAAAAGTAAACTCAAGTCTCACTGAAATAAGTCACCTGTGCTCTGTCTAGTGAACGTCTGTGTCCTCCGCATCCTCACTGTTCTCTGACCCCTGTCCTTGCTCTGCATTAAAAGGACAAGGAAAATGTCAAAGAGTGTTCAGCAGAAATTTTTGTGTGTTTGCCCAAAGGTGGTAAATGTGAGAGCAGCTCTAGGTTCCTGAGTCCTGTAGGCAGATATCCTTGGATTGAGAAAATTAAGAAATGGTGCTCTAAGTTGGAACATTTAGACATAATTAATTAGTTCTACTGCAGTCTGAGATCATCTTAGAAATATGCTTTGGTACTCATTTTGAATTCAAGAACTCTCAAATTTCTTGTTTTCAGTAGTAAAAAAATTACACCGTGATACAAAAGTTTACATATTCTAAAAGGACAATATGGTAGCCACTGAATATTATCTCTAAGACACAAATCATCAGCTGCAAAAGCATAGACTTAATGACTTAAAACCATCTTGATTGAGGCTTGAAAAGCCACTTAAAATATTATGCAGCTTAAACACCATCAAAACCATTTATGTCTACAGCTGTACTACAATTATGTTTAAGGCATTCCTTGTAACGGAGACAGCAACTCATCAGCAGAGGAGAATGTTCAGAGAAACTATCTAAATGTGCCAGCAAAAACATCTGTTCAACTCACAAATTTATGTGAGATAATTCAGCTGTATGGAATTAAAGTAAGTTTTCATTACTATACCCTATCAAACTGTAAAATGGATTATATCATGACATATAGATATGTCTTATTGAAGTAAGCATGGAGACTTGTTTTTTAATTCAAAATTATATTTAAATATATCATTTCAGTCTTTCAATAATTAGAAGACAGTTTATAAACATCTTAGTGGGTTTACCTTTAAACTGAACACTGTTTTAGTTTAATAATAGGTTTTTGCACAGTAAAAGATAGGATACCTTAGAAGTGTTGGCTAAAAAAAGATTTCTGACCAAGTATGCACTCAGTCCTCTGTACTCTCTGTTTTAGACAAAAGAAAGATGAATGCACTGCAATACCATGTTTGTATTTTTTTCTACTATAGACAAACAAATTAAGGGTTAAGCTCATTTCATTCTCGGTGGTTAAAGATATATTTGGCAAGAGATATCTCTGTTGTACAATGAAACTAAAACAAATGAATATTTTAAGACTTATAAGAAATTATCCATTTAAAACATTTTTTTTCTCCAGTAGAAAATAGTAGAGCCTTCCAATGGGTAAGTCATGTTATCTCTATCCTTGATCTGGACTAAGGAAATAATTTGGTCTTCAATCTAGATGGTTGACATTCTAATTTAGGCACTTGAAACAATTATGATGGTCCATTTCCTTTTAATACTGTTGGTTTCCTGCTGTCAAGTAACAATTATTCAATTATTCATTTTCCATGTTTATCTTATAAAATCATCTTACCATTTATCAAATCCCTTTTTTTCTTTTTAAATAATGGAGACAACTTAGGAATTTAGAGAATCACAAAAGACCACATTCCTGGTGAAAACCACTGGAATACTGTCTCCAAGAGTGTTGCATTTTGGCTCATTGTATTTTTCATTCAGTGAAAGAACTATTTTTTTAAAAGGAGGACTTTGTGATGGTTCTGAAGTGAAGCCCATGCAGTTTACCAAAAGTGATAGGTAGCAAAATCATGAGTTAGGGTAAAACAAAATTCAAAAAACATTTACCCTAAAATGAGGCCTTGAAGGGGCAGGCATAATGTGAAATATGAATTTTATTCAGCAGCCATGGGTCATAGATCATAACTTTGTACTAAGGTGAATCTAATATCATTTTTATGAAATTATTGTACATATATTTAGAACATCCTGATAGAAGTATTAAAAAAAACATAAAAGAAATCAAAGGTGACTCCAGAGTTGTGACTTTTGAAAATTAGTCCTGCCTCAAATGCAGAAGGAAAGTCCGGATTTGTACCCTAAATATGCTGGGTATCCCTCTGAGAAACCCATGACTATGTCTAACCCAGACTTTTCCCTGGAAACTGATGAGGAGACACAAAAGCAAAGTGGATGTACATTGCACACTGAATGGTGCTGGGGCCAGAGTGGCATTATAGAACCAGAAATGTTGATGAAAAAGAGTGGCTGTCAGAAGAAAGAAACAAGAATGAAGTGATGAGATTAAAAAAAAAGATCAAGAGATGAGAGAGAGAAAGCCAGAGAGAAAGAGAGAATGAGAATGGAGGGTGGAGAGAGAGAGAGAGAGAGAATGTAAATGAGCAGTCCTATGATTTCTGACAATATTCTGTGTCTTGGTTTCAGTCCAACTATTGCTCTTGTCCTTGAATTCCATGAGATAGTAATAAATTCTCTAAGAAGATTCCTTTTCTTGCACAAGTTGTAGGGACTTTGTAGACATAGAATTTCTAAATAAGACACTATGATTTACTTATGTTTATGCTAACTTTCGCATTTTCTGTAATAGACAATTATATTATTCTGTATATTTTGATAGTGGCTTAGTTAACATTCATGCAGCACAGCTTACACTTAAGAACCAGGAGTTTGAACTATGCCTTAAGACACCAAGAATCATGATGTAATAATCCTTTGTATATATTGTCAAGGGTTTTATACTGAAGACTTTTTTTTAGAGTGTTTGCTTGCTTATTTCTTGTTCTATTTTAAAAGAATTTGAATAGAGTTGGATTACCAGGTATATCTAAATTAAGCCAGCATTCAATCAGCTATTACTGTCTTCTTATATTAATAAGAAAAATAAAACGATATAGTGGTAAAGGGTTGGGACAGCGAAAATTTTTGGGGGTGATATGGAGAGATAATGGGTGATGTTTCTCAGGGCTGCTTCGAGCGGGATTAGGGGCAGCGTGGGAACCTAAAGTGGGAGCGATTAAGCTGAAGGAAGATTTTGTGGTAAGGGTTGATATTGTGGGGTTGTTAGAAGAAACATTTGTCATTTAGAATTATTGGTGATGGCCTGGATACAGTTTTGTATGAATTGAAAAACCAAACGGAATAAGAGAAGGAGAAAAACAGATATTAAAGGACTAAGAATTGGGAGGACCTAGGACATCTAATTAGAGAATGCCTAAGGAGGTTCAGCATAGCCTTGCCAGCAATGATTATTTATTTACTTTAAGAGTTAAGAGTGGCGGTTTGGGGATAGTACCAGGAGATATCAGCTGTGATGGCTTGGAGAAACAGTGTAAACTGGCAGTGTAAACAAAAGCAGGGCATGTATGAGTAGTTGAGAATGGTGAATAGGAGTATGACTAGACAGAAGATAGTAGGGATGACAAGTTTTTTGGGGCACAGTCTAAGTTGGTCTGGTGTCTGGAATGAGACTAGGGCCTAATAAAAAGGAGTGTCTATACAGGAGCTTAAATGGGCTGTATCTTGTAGCATTCCGAGGACAGGCCTGAATTCTGATAAGCGAAAGTGGTAAAAGTATTGTCCAGTCCTTTTTAAGTTGGTGGCTGAGCTTGGTGAGGTGTGTTTTTAATAGAATATTAGTCTGTCACTGAATACTAAGAGCCTGAAAAAATGCTTGGCTGATTTGACTAATAAAGGCTGGTCTGTTATCAGACTGTATATTGGTGGGAAGGCTAAACTGAGGAATTAAGTCTGGCAGAAGGGAATGACAAGGCTAAACTGGAGAGTTATGTCTGACAGAAGGGAAGAAATGACTGCAGTGGCCTTCTCAGACCCTGTAGGAAAGGACTCTACTTATCCAGTGAAAGTGTCTACCTAGACTAAGAGGTATTTTAGTTATCTTACTCCGGGTATGTTGAGTAAAGCTAATTTGCCAGTCCTGTGTGGGGGCAAATCCTTGAGCTTGATGTGTAGGGAAGGGAGGGGGCCTGAATAATCCCTGAGGAGTAGTAGAATAGCAGATGGAACACTGAGAAGTGATTTCTTTGAGGATAGATTTCCATGATGGAAAGGAAATGAGAGGTTCTAAGAGGCGGGCTAGTGGCTTGTACTATAGCATAGCCTGCCTTTGCTGGTGTGTGGCGATTAGGCCTGGTGGAACCGCCATCAATAAACTAAGTGTGATCAGGGTGAGAAACAGGGAAGAAGGAAATGTGGGGAAATGGGATGAACGTCAGGTGGATCAGAGAGATGCAGTCATGAGGGTCAGGTGTGGTATCTGGAATAATGTGGGAGGCCGGACTGAAGTCCGGGGCAGGAACAATGGTAATTGTGGACACTTAACAAAGAGTGAGTACAGCTGAAGGAGCCGGGGAGCAGACAGTATATGCATCAGGTGTGAGTAAGAAAATAGATTTTGGAATTTATGAGAGCTGTAGAGAGTGAGTTGAGCATAGTTTGTGATTTTTAGGGCCTCTAAAAGTATTAAAGCAGTGGCAGCCGCTGCGGGCAGACATGAGGGCTAGGCTAAAACAGTAAGGTCAAGTTGTTTGGACAGAAAGGCTACAGGGTGTGGTCCTGGCTCTTGTGTAAGAATTCTGACAACACTAACCATGCCTAGGAAGGAAAGGAGTTGTTGTTTTGTAAGTGATTGAGGTTTGGGAGATTAACTGGACATGATCAGCAGGGACAGCACGTGTGTTTTTATGAGGTATGCCAAGATAGGTAACAGATGAAGATGAAATTTGGGCTTAACTGAAGTAATGGGAGCTATCTGTGAAGACTTGCGACAGTACAGCCCAGGTAATTTGCTGAGCCTAATGGGTGTCAGGGTCAGTCTAAGTGAAAGCAAAGAGAGGCTGGGACGAGGAGTGCAGGGGAATAGTGAAAAAAGCATCTTTAAGAACGAGAACAGAATAGTAAGTTGTGAAAGAAGGTATTGAGGACAAAAGAGTGTACGGGTTGGGCACCACAGGGTGGATAGGCAAAACAATTTGGTTGATAAAGTGCAGATCCTAAACTAATCTGTAAGACTTGTCCGGTTTTTGGACAGGTAAAATGGGGGAATTGTAAGGAGAGTTTGTAGGTTTTAGAAGCCCATGCTGTAGCAGGCGAGTGATAACAGGCATTAATCTTTTTAAAGCATGCTGTGGGATAGGATATTGGCATTGAGTGGGGTAAGGGTGATTAGGTTTTAATGGGATGGTAATGGGCTGTGATCGGTTGCCAGGGAAGGAGTAGAGATGTCCTATACTTGTGGGTTAAGGTTGGGGGATACGAGAGGAAGACACGAAGGAGGCTTTGGGTTGGGGAGAAGGGTGGCAATGAGATGCGGCTGTAGTCCAGGAATAGTCAGGGAAGCAGATAATTTTGTTAAAATATCTCAGCCTAATAAGGGAACTGGGCAGGTAGGGATAACTAAAAAAGAGTGCATAAGAGTGTTGTCCAAGTTGGCACCAGAGTGGGGGAGTTTTCAGGGGTTTAGAAGCCTGGCAGTCAATACCCACAACAGTTATGGAGGCAAGGGAAACAGGCCCTTGAAAAGAAGGTAATGTGGAGTGGGTAGCCTCCGTATTGACTAAGGGGACGGACTTACCTTCCACTGTGAGAGTTACCTGAAGCTCGGTGTCCGTGATGGTCTACGGAGCTTCCGAGGTGATCGGGCAGCGTCAGTCTTCAGCTGCTAAGCAGAGAAGGAGTCAGTCAGAGAGCCTTGGGCCAGAGTTCCAGGGGCTCTGGGAGTGGCTGCCAGGTGAGTTGAACAGTCTGATTTCCAGTGGGGTCCCGCACAGATGGGACACGGCTTAGGAGGAATCCTGGGCTGCAGGCATTCCTTGGCCTGGTGGTCAGATTTCTGGCACTTGTAGCAAGCTCCTGCAGGAGGAGGTTCTGGAGGAACACCTGGCCACTGCGGTTCAGGCGTTTGGAAGTTCTTGTGTGCTGGAGAAGTGGCTGGGGTTTGTCTCACAGTGGAGGCAAGGAATTGCAACTTTTTTCTATTATTGTACACCTTGAAGGAGAGGTTAATTAAATCCTGTTGTGGGGTTTGAGGGCCGGAATTTAATTTTTGGAGTTTTATTTAATGTCGGGAGCAGATTGGGTAATAAAATGTATTTTGAGAATAAGACGGCCTTTTGACCTTTTAGGGTCTAGGGCTGTAAAGTGTCTCAGGGTTGCTGCCAAACAAGTCATGAACTGGGCTGGATTTTTATATTTGATGAAAAAGAGCCTAAACGCTATCTGATTTGGGATAAAGAAAAAGGAGCATTAACCTTGACTATGCCTTTAGCTCCAGCCACCTTTTTAAGAGTAAATTGCTGGGCAGGTGGGGGAGGGCTAGTCACGGAATGAAACTGTAAGCCAGACCCGGTGTGAGGAGGGGAGGTAATAAAAGGATTATAGGGTGGAGGAGCAGAGGCTGAGGAAGAATTGGGAACTAGCTCGGCCTGGCGAGGAGCAGCCTGGGAGGAGGGGAGAGGTCAGATGGGTCTGTAGAAAAGGAAGATTAGAAAGACTCAGCGACACTTGGGGTTGGGACTGAGGGGACAGGCGGGAGGGAAAGAAGGAAGATTTGGGACGAGTTGCACTGGGCACAGAGACTAGGGAGGGACCGATATGTAAAAGAATGCCTGGACGTCAGGCACCTCAGACTGTTTGCCCATTTTATGACAAGAATTATTTAGATCTTGCAGGATGGAAAAATTGAAAGTGCCGTTTTCTGGCTATTTGGAACTACTGTCGAGTTTGTATTGGGGTCAAGTGGCATTGCAGAAGAAAATAAGGCACTTAGGTTTTAGGTCAGGTGTGAATTGAAGAGGTTTTAAGTTTTTGAGAACACAGGCCAAAGGAGAAGAAGGAGGAATGGAGGGTGGAAGTTTGCCTATAGTGAAGGAAGCAAGCCCAGAGAAAAGAGAGAGTAGAGACATGGAGGGAAGGGGTTCGGGGGTTCTTACCTTCTAGAAAAGCGGGAAAGGGGTTGGGGCATGGATATAAGGGATTGGGGCGCAGAGATAAGAGGTCGGGACGTGGAAACAAGGGATGGGGCGCAGAGATAAGAGGTCGGGGCATGGAAATAAGGGATCGGGGTGCAGAGATAAGAGGTTGGGGCACAGAAATAAGGGATTGGGGTGCAGAGATAAGAGGTCAGGGTGCAAAAATAAGCGATTGGGGCACAGAGATATAAGAGGTTGGGGCACGGAAATAAGGGATTGGGGCACAGAGAAACAAGGTTGGGGTACTTACCCCTCCTCTGGAAAAGCAGGACTTGCCGCTAAGAGTGAAGGAGAAGGGTTTGGGGGTTTCTTGCCCCCCGGAAAGGTAGAGAAGGGGTAGAGACATGGAGAGAAGGGGTTGGGGTACTTGCCCCTTCCCCAGAAAAGCGAGACTTGCCGCTAAGGGTGAAGGACAAAGGCAGGCGTCCCTGTGTGGTCTGACACCTCTGAAACATGGTTGAATAATCAGAGAGGCATCCCTGCAATAATTAAACACCAAGGGAAGGCTGCCTTCCCTAGTCCGTGACCGACACCGGAGTTTTGGGTCCACAGATAAAACGTGTCTCCTTTGTCTCTACCAGAAAATGAAAGGAATTGAAATTAAGAGAAGGGAGAGATTGAAGAGTGGAAAGGAGAAAGTGGTTGAGGGACAGTGAGAGAGGTTGGAGAAGAGAGTACGAAGAGGTCGCTTACCTGATTTAAAATTGGTGAGATGTTCCTTGGGCTGGTGGGTCTGAGGACCTGAGATCGTAGGTGGATCTTTTTCATGGAGCAAAGAGCAGGAGGACAGGGGATTGATCTCCCAAGGGAGGTCCCCCGATCTGAGTCACGGCACCGAATTTCATGCGCGTCCCTGTGAAGAGACAACCTAACAGGCTTTGTGTGAGCAATAAAGCTTTTAATCACCTGGGTGCAGGTGGGCTGAGTCCGAAAAGAGAGTCAGCGAAGGGAGATGGGGTTGGGCCATTTTATAGGATTTGGGTAGGTAAAGGAAAATTACAGTCAAAGGGGGGTTGTTCTCTGGCAGGCAGAGTGGGGGTCACAAGGTGCTCAGTAGGGGAGCTTTTGAGCCAGGATGAGGCAGGATAAGGAACTTCACAAGACAATGTCATCAGTTAAGGCAGGAACAGGCCATTTTCACTTCTTTTGTGGTGGAATGTCATCAGTTAAGGCAGGAACTGGCCATCTGGTTGTGTATGTGCAGGCCGCAGGGGATATGATGGCTTAGCTTGGGCTCAGAGGCCTGACAATTACCATATGTAAACATTGGTCTCAACACTAAGCATACAAGAATACACAGAAGGCAATTTATGATCTAGTTTGGGATCTAGGATATACACATCAGACATTGCCCATTGTAGGGAGCAACTGGCAAATGAATTATATAAATAATGAGGTTGGAAAAGGAAGATATCATTTTCAGTACCCATGGTGAAGAAAACTTTTATTTGTTAAAAACGATATCGTGCAGTAAATGTTTATTGAACACTATCCATAGCCAGGACAGGTTCTGACACTAGGAATACCAAAATCAAATAACACAATGTTATTAAGACCCAAAAACATTATAGAACTAAACAAATATAATGCAATGTGCTAAATGTTATCATTAAGGCATTAATATTGTACTTCGGGGGTTCAAAAGAGAGTTTCTACTCTTCCAGAGAAGTAAGGAATGGTGTTGAAGCACAGCTGTATTTTTGGTGGATTAGGAAGAAGTAGTAAGAGTACATCAGGCAAAATAGGCATAAAAAATAGGTTGTTCTCAGCAAAAGAAGGATTCATGTGCTTGGGTTTTCAGCAGGCTGAGTAGGGCGGGGCAAGGTGTTTTAAAATGCAAGTTTTATTATTATTATTCAGGTATGATGAAGCCAACAGATCAAGACATGGTTGTCACTGAAAAGTGAGTTTGTTACACAAGAGGAAGGAGCGCATCATGCCACACATTGCAACACAGGGAACCGCCAGCAGGGGTGAGGAGGCAGAAGGAGTTGGGGGTTGGGGGAATGTGAGCAACAGCCTTTATTTTTATTTTTTCTTTTGTGGGAAGGAATGAGCAAGGCAGATGCTATGGTTTGAATGTGTGAAAAAAGCATGTATTGGGAACTTAATTCCCAATCCAACAGTGTTGAGAGATGGAATCTAATGTGAGGTGTGTAGGTCATGAGGGCTCTACCCTCATGAACGGATTAATGACAATTTTAAAAGGGCTCGAGGCTACAGATTCAATCTCTTTCTTGCTCTCTGTTGCTCTTTCACCTTCCACCATAGGATAATGCACTGCAAAGGCCTTTGCTGGATGCTGGTGCCATGCTATTGGATATCCCAGCCTCCAGAACTGTGAGCCAAATAATGTTTGTTTGTTTTCTTTTAAGTTATCTAGTCTCAGGCATTCTGTTGTAGCAGCACAAAACAGACAAAGACGACAGGATAAGCAGGCTAAGTAGGTTTAGAAACGGTTAGTGTAAATAATTTCTGTGAGCTCTGAGATTTAGGGACTGACTCTAGTTGTCTGATGCCTGGTTCTGGGATGATTCGGTCAGGGAGATAGTGACCCAGGAGTTTAAGAACTTGGCCTCACCTCAGATGGAGGAGGGGAAGTAGTAGTAGCAGCGTGCTGAATCTAGCCAAGGAGCTGGGGGAATTGCTGGATTGCCCTAGAAACGCCGCCAATTCTTTTCTTTTGCATGATGATACATGTTTCCTGGAACTCGTTAATCCCTGCCTGTTCTTCCTCACCCTGATACTACATGTTCTGTTAACTAAGGCAGGAAGTGGGAGGGCCAACTTGTCTCCTATGGTTTGCTCTGATATGTCTCCTCATCCCTTAATCTCCTTAAAAAGACACTCATGTACTTAAGATAAAATATATAGGTTAAATATCCTGTGTGATTCCAGCTCCATATGGAAAGTGCAAAACTTGTATTGCTTTCTCCTTTAATATACAAATGCCACCCAAGTAGTTACTGAATTTCAGGGAAGGGGCTTGGAGATCTGTTTATTTTGGAGCTAACAAATAGTAAAAGAGCACTTTCAGGAATTTTTCCTTAAGGGCAAATTTACTTCAGGTTTAATAAAACATATTAATTGGACATCAAGCAAAAAGATGAAGTGTGTACATTTCCGTCAAATACTCATGGACCCCTTGTTACATTGTGAGCTTTGACACGTGCTTTTCTTAAAAGCGTCTTTCAGCCCAGGGTCTTTAATCACTTCACAGTTATTGTGACCTTGCAGGTGTACTTATTATCTCTCTTTTGCATCTAGAAAACCTGAGACCCAAGGGTTTCTTCCCTGGAGCTGCGCTAATTTTTCATCTATAAAAATAACTAGTATTTACTGATACTTTACATTCTTTCTGTTTAAAGAAACCACGAATTATAGGGGTTTGTCTATCACTTTTAAATCCAAAATTTACGGTTCTTATTTTCAATTTTCAGGTAGTATCATCATTATGAGGTGATTGTTAAAAATGTGTATGAAAAGGGCTTCTAAATTTTAAAAAAGTATGTGTTTATTCCTACTGAATGTACCATATTTTTAAATGCATTTTATATCCCAATATATTGGAGGACAATTGATTTCAATACCAAACAAATACGTTTTATTAATTATTATAGCACATTTACCATGTTTATTTAAATATTCCCTCCTCACCTATTTTGAGAATATACATCCAAAATATTTTTTATGTTTTCCTGTATATATTTCCGACCCACCCAAGCTCTGAGGGAGCATCTGCAGCTGTTGGAAGAAGATGTTAAGGATGGACCACAGAATGAGGACATTTTAATGGAATTTAATAGCTGAATAGCAGGCACATTCTTAGGCGAACGTTTTTCCTAATGCCTCGGCATCCAGCTGCTTTCCTTAGCCTTCAGTTGGTGAATATGAAAGTGAGTGCTACTGCTAACATCTTACTTAGATTCTTCTCCCCATCTCCCTTTGTTTCTTCCCTCTCAAATGTCTTGAACTGTGATCAGATGCTATATTCGGTGTGTTGCAAACTAAGTGCCACTCAGCTAATTCACTCAAAGGCTGCCACAGTGTCCCCTGTGCTGGTGGACACTAATCCCATAAAGTGGGTCTGTGGCACTTGTATCTCCTTGTGAAACTAACCTGAGACTAAAAAATAAAGTTAAATTCTAAATGTTAATATATAATGGGAATATAAAAACAGTAAAGGAATTATAAAATTCACTACGGTCTATAATAATTGCATGATTTTTCTAGATAAAAGCAATTACCAATATTGAGTCAAGAGAGGCAGCATTATTTTAGATGATATGGCCATCTACTTAAAAACTTAGAAGAATCTACTGAAAAACCATTGAAATTAATAAGAGGGCTCAGTAATACAAGATCAACATTAAAAAATGACTTTCCTGTACCTGTAATGACCAAATAAGCAGCATGGAGACAGTTTTTATTCATATAGAAAATTAGCTTGCAATGTCACTTTTACACACATGCACAAAAATTCTAAGTTGACTACATAGTCAAATAACATATAAAATAATAAAAATAATCAGAAGAAAACATAGAGAAATACTTTATTAAAATTACAGTAAGAATGTTTTCTAGCATATTTATAACCAGGAAAAGAGCATGGTGAGATAATGACAATTACTCTAATATTTGCTTGAGGAAGATTTTAGTTTTTCCATATCTTCTTCTGCTGCAGCTTCAAGTTCGACCCTTGAAAGGTGAGTCAAAAAGAAAAACAAGAAAAGATCAACCTAAGGCTCAGCTTCAGAAAGCAAGTGGTATATAGAATATTATCTTTCACTATTTATCTTACATGCAAGCACAGAAACATTTTGCCAACAGTAAGATATAAGTGGTAGGTTCTATCAAGAGAAAGTTCCATTTGTGTATTTTCTTGGCAGAAATTTATATACCAGTGGATACCAGAGGAGTAAATCTATTTTTAAAGTTCTAGTTTGCTTTTTGACAACTTCAAATAAAATTTCATCAACACAGGTTTGACCACATGAAATTCCAGTCTGAAAATGACCATTAAGATTACAGTCGTTTATCCTTCTTAGGTAACTAATACCTGCTGTTTTTGACCAAAAGTGGGAACAAAAGATGAGCTTCCATATCCCTTGTATAATTTTGGAGCTCTTTATTTGTTTCTTTTGCCATGAGGAATTATTGGTCACTAGTCATCCCAAATACAACCTTCTACTTCAAATATAACCTCAAACTATGATAAAATACTTTTACCTCAAGGTGGAGCTGTTATATTTTCAGAAGAGAAAAAGACTCAACACCTTGGTCTTGTTCTAGAATTTTGTTACAATCCTGAGGAAATGTTATTTTTAATAAGAAATGACAGAAAAAAATGACCATTCCTTTTCTTCTCTCTCTTTTTCTAGAACACAGTGATTAATGTTAAAGTTACAAAAGAACACTGACCCACAGGATCATTTTGTGTGATGACATTGTCTGTTCATTCTGGCACAGGCTGTTTTGAGCATATTTGGCATGGAGCTTCTTTTGTGCAGCTGTATACAGACTATGCAAACATGGATAGAAAGGCATCAAAACCATAACTTGCCTTTGTCAGAGCTTCTAAAAACATGACACTTTATGAACCAAGTTTTGTTTCTGTGTTCTCTGTTGACCTAATTAGGGATATTCTAGACAATTACGGCAGCTTTCCAAGTAGATGTTATCCTGGATATATTCAATTCTAATATAGTTTTATGTCCTTTTAAAAAACTTACCAGAGCCAATTGTATCAGTAAATATCAGCAGTATCTGAGGTAAAGTTTAGCTGAATGAAATAAGAGCATAATAAAGCTTAATTCATCTGGTTCTTTTTTAAAACAATTCTGAGAATAAAGAAAGTCTTTAAGGGGCATTTATATCCTTGTTATATTTATTTTGAACTATTGAAAAAATGTAACTTCTACTCTAAAGGTGTGAATACCACACAAAATATTTCTTTGCATTTATTTTGCAGCTATTTTTAGCTGATGGAGAAGTCTCATTGAAGAACTTTCAGGGGCTTGGATCACAGAGAATATTCTCTTTTTAAATGAGGACTTCATAGGTTTCTCCCTGCCCGCACTATTTTTTTGATTGATAGAGAAAAAATCTTAACCTACAGGATTTTGCAAATCGTAAAAAGCTACATATAGAGTCACTATCACACTGCAGTAGAAATTATGCATTCTATAGCATGGATGGTGACAGCCATAAATATGACAATTAATATGCCTAATATATTGTCATAAAATGCTACAAAATTGTGGAAAATAATAAAAAATTAAAAATTAAAAAGTGGCATTTATTGAAGACAGTGTACTATTGTTTTTATTTATTTTACTTATTGATTTATTTTTTGAGACAGAGTCTTGCTCTGTCACTCAGGCTTGAGTACAGTGGTGCAATCTCAGCTCATTGAAGCCTGCATTTCCGGGGCTCAAGCGATCCTCCTGCCTCAGCCTCCTGAGTAGCTGGAACTACATGTGTGCACCACCACTCCCAACTAATTTTTTGTATTTTTAGTAGAGATGGTGTTTCACCATGTTGGCCAGGCTGGTCCTGAACTACTGACCTCAGGTGATCCGCCCCCCTCGGCCTCCCAAAGTGCTGGGATTACAGGCACAAGCCACCGCATCTGCTGACAGTGTATTATTAAAAACAAGAAATCTTAGGTACTTTGTGACACATCATAAATTTATAATACAAACACAATGTTCATGTTTTTGAAAAATAGGTAGATTTTAAAATGTGGTTTCATAATGCTTTGATGTCAGAGCTTCCCAGTGTGTCCTGATGGGAGCGGAGTGAGATAAAGGAGGAACAGAGCTTCTCATTTTCTCTCAGCTGCCTGATCCTAGTCTTTTCCAGAATTTCCAAATAAAACATGTTTGCTCCAAAATTAAGTCCAAATGTAACTTGATATACAAGCTATCCTTATACTCACTATACTTTTGTTCTATTTTGATTATTAAGTGAGTGATTTTTAAATCGACTTGGATTTCAATACCTATTTTGCTAATGAGATTATTCTGTTTTTAGTAGTGTCGAATTATCTTCACAAGAACAAAATATCTGAATCAAATTATAGAAATAAAGGCCAAAATATTGCACTGCTACTGACTTCAGGGTTGCTGAATCACTTGTAACAATGAATGTGATATTTTTATCAAAAGGTTCATGGGCAAACCCCAACAATCCCCTGGCAAAGTCTCAAGATGTCTTTAGTTTAAAAAAAAGTAAGAGGTCTATCATTAGATGCCACAGAACATGAAATCTCACCGAAAAGCAATGAATTTATTGTTTAAAAGAATATTCTGCCACTCGGCTTTTTACAAAGAATAGATACACTTTTAAATTCTAAAAATGTTAGAGAACTTTGCTATTCCATACCAAATCATTCTAAGATTGTTCCTTTGTAGTCTTTGCTATATTCTATAGCAGCACCATGAAACAGGACTTTCTGAAAACACTGAAATATTTCTATGACCTCACAAAATGAAGCCACTAGCTGTCTGTGACTACTGATCCCTGGAATGTGGTTAGTGTGCCTGAGGAACACATTTTAAAATTGAACTTCATTTTAGTTTTTAACTTAAACTTATCTTATGTATTTATTTTGAGGTGAAATCTTGCTCTTGTCACCCAGGCTGGAGTGCAGTGGCGCGATCTTGGCTCACTGCAACCTCTGCCTCCCGGGTTCAAGCAAGTCTCTTGCCTCAGCCTCCCAAGTAGCTGAGATTACAGGCACCGGCCACCATGCCTGGTTGATTTTTGTATTTTTAGTAGAGATGGGGTTTCACATTGTTGGTCAGGCTGGTTTCGAACTCCTGACCTCAGGTGATCTGCCCACCTTGACCTCCCAAAATGCTGGCATTACAGACGTGAGCCACCACACCTGGTCTTTAACTTAAATTTAAATGGTCACATGTGACTGGTTCCTATCCCATCGGAAGGTACAACTCTAGACACTCCATTATGAGAGTACTTCAGTGCTCTGTCTCCTCAACTCTACTCTTCTCCACACTCAACATCAACACATGCTAAAAAGATTTCTTTTCTGGGATATTAGACTTCAGATCTTGCTGATTTAAATAAATCTCACATTTTCAGGAATACAACCTGAGCATTATTCAAATAAATTGTATATTTGGAAGTGACAGTTCTAAGAAAATACTGCTGGTGAGTACTGTCTCTTCTATATAGTAAATTCCTCACTAATCCCAGATTTAAAGCTGATTTATTTCAAAATAAAATGAGTAGTATTTCTTTGTTGTTTTTCATTCTGCAGATGTAAAGACTTATCCAAATCCCCAGTCAATGGGTTTCTATTTTAAATGAATTCTGATTGAATTACTTATCCTTTTAACTATCCACAGGTGCCCCTGAAGAAACCTTTAACCTATAACTAAACTAAACATGTGTCATCTAGACATTCCTGAGAGCAGTAGCTTTTTTGGAGGCATTTCTCCTCAGGAGTTCTAATTCAGGTAGGGGCCATTTCACTGTCAGTCAAAGTGATATTAGACCTGAACACATTCCAGAACAGTAGTGATTATGGCTGATGGAAGTAGACACTTTTGAAATATTCTCACTTGTCAAATCAATTAAGAAAAGTTTTGGAATCTTATTGCTTAGCCATTTTAATTCAGATAAAAACTTTTGAAAAAGCTAACAGTAAAGTTTCTATAAGACTTTGAAAAAAATCATCTCTAATTCCTATGCTGGTTGATTATAGTTAAAATAAAGGCTTTGATTTAGAGTTGAATCTACTAGCACCTTTCTTCTGAAGCATTGTTATTAATTAGCCAATAATTTGCTAATTGACCTAAGCCAATTGGCTTGCCAGTCACATTTTAAAAATAAAGATTCTATATATTTAAATAGTAATAGTAATGATAATATATTGAGTATTTATTATGTCATAGCATATATTAAGTGCTGTTCCAAATATTGTATACATGAGTTATATATATTATATATATATAATGTGTATATACACACACACACACACACACACATGCACACACAAACTCATTTGTCACTGAAATGACACTGAGATACATATAATAACATTAGTTGCATTTTACAAATAGGAAGCTGAGCCACAGGGAATTTAAGCTGCTTATTTATGGCCTCAGAGATAGTAAGTGACAGCAGCAGAAGCCAAATTCAGGCAGTCAGCTAAAATCTGAGTTTGGATGCTGGTTCTTCAATTGACACTCTTTAAAGTAGAATTTTTCAAACCATGCTGTGCATACCAATTGCATTTTAAGATGTAAATTCTAATTCAGTAGATCAGGCATAGGACTTCAGAATATACAATTCTGATTTTTTAGTTTTGAAAAATAATGGTGTATATTTAAAGTGTACAACTTGATTTGATATAGGTATGCATTGTGAAATAATGACTATAATCAAGCTAATTAACATATTCATTGCCTTATATATTTACCATGTTTTTGATGTAGTGAGCACACTTAGAATCTATTATCTTAGCAAATTTCAAGTATACAAACTGTTTTATTATCTATAGATGTTATCTATAGAGAGATGATTATTCTCAAAGTCTTATAGAAACTTCAGTATTAGCATTTTCAAAAAGCTATACATTCTATTAGATCTCCAAGTTTATTCATCTTACATAATGGAAAGTTTGTACTTCTTTCCCAGGTGATGTCAATGCTGCCATTCAGGGACTCAAACTTTGAGGAGCAATTCAGATTAACAAAAATAAAAAAACTAATACAAACTTGGAATTTGTATTGCTGGGGTTTTTTAGATCCCAAAGGGCTCTCAATCTGTGTTCCATTTATACTTTTAAAGCAGAGGTCCTCAGGATTTTTCTATAAAGTGCCAGATAGTAAATGTTCAGGTTGGCAGGACATACGGTCTTGGTAATAATCTGAAGTAGTTATATTGCAATGAAACTTTACTTACAAAAATAGTCAGGGGCTGGATTTGGTCCACTGGCTGTAGTTTGTCAACCCCAGTTATAAAGCACATAAGAGAAAGCTTATTTAAAAGTGCATTTTGAATATAGTGTTCTCAAAATACCAAAAATGTCAAATTATTTGTCAGAGACCATTTGGTCAGTATATGACTCATTTTTCAGAACCAGTTCAAATCCTACTTTTTCTGGGAAGTCTGACTAATTAGCACTTAATCTAAATACATGCTTAGCTTCATGTACACTTCCCACAGGAGTCAAAATTAATAAGTACCTTAAAATATAGTAGATATAAATTTAAAAATAAAAACAAATTATGTCTAAGTTGGGAGATCAAGTGTCAGATATTAGGTAGCATTTTTAGGTTAATCATGAAGCCTGGACAAAATTTGACAGGTTTAATAAAGAAATTCAAAGGGGGAAGAAACAGACCAAACCAAATGTATGTATGTTTATAAAGTTAGAGACTTCTGGTTTCTGGTCAAGCACCTAAGGAGTTTAGAAGTCTTCACTCAGTCCTAGCAAAAGATAAAAAGCTGAACAAACTAAAACATTAAAAACTCTTCTTAGCTCCATCAGACAAGTGGGGTCTCAGGACAAATCTACTGCCCCAACAATTGGAGAGATAGGTGCATACAGAGAATCACAGCTTACTGGAGTAGAAATCCGTTAGTAGAAACCTTCATAGCAACAGTGCTGGGTTAGAAAAATCTGAACAGTAGTTGATGGATAGCTGGAGGCTCAGAATGTACAAGTCTGAGAGTTAAAAACTCTAGGGGGACCCTCAGACTCTTACAACTTTTATTTCCAGGAATTCTACCAGATCCTAACAGTGAATACTGGAGAAAAATCCCCTCATGCCTCTGGCAAGGGAAGGGGAATAGGAAACATTTTGAAACACACCAGAGAATTCTCTTCTTCTTAATTAGGCCTACCCTCAAAAGAAACTAATTAACCAGAACCTAACCTGCTGGGATTATATCAGAGCTTAATCTACCTAAGGGTAGGGAAATACCCAACTGTAGCCCATCTAGTCATTTTGTCTCACCTAATGTGGGGAGTAGGGAGACTGAGAAAAGTCTGCAGTCCAGAGGCATGGGATTACCGTAAGACTGAGATGTAATAGTAGGACTATACATCACTTCCTGTCCACTCCCTTCTTACCACTTTATTACTATAAGCCTGTTTATAGAAGTTTCTTTTACCTGGCACAACACATCTACCTTTCAACAAGGTGTAATAAAAAAATTAACAAGAAACACTGAAAGGCAAAAGAACTGTTTGAAGCGACCTGACAATCATCAGAGCAATATTCAGATATGGCAGGAATGTTGGAATTATCAGACCAGGAATTTAAAAAAAAAAAACAACTTAAACTATGACTAAAATGCTAAGAATAGAACACAATGTGCAAGAACTGTGGCATAACTATAAATAGATGTAACTTATACATAATGATAATGCTGGAAAGAGAAGAAGGAGAGATAGGAGCTAAAGCAATATGGACGCAAAAATTACAAATTCCCTAAATTAATGTCAGACACCAAACTACAGATCCAGAAATCTCAGAAAATACCAAGAAGAATAAATGCCAAAAAAGTACATCTAGGCATTTATCATATAAAAACTTAGAAAATCAAAGCTGAAAAAAAATCTTGGGAGAAACCAGAGGAAAAGAACAGTTCACCTATAGAGGAGCAGAGAACTACAACTGACTTCTCCTGAGAAACAAGGAAGCAAGCAAGCTTGCTGCATAGCAAGAAGAGAGTGGGATAAAATATTTTAAGTGTTAAGAGATAAAACCCACCAACTTAAAGCTCTGCACCTTGTGAGGTTATTCTTCAAAAGTAAAGGAGCAATAAGGATTTCCTCAGAAAAATAAAAATTAAGGGATTTTTTTTCATTAGTAAACCTGCCTTGCAAAAGAAGTTCTTCATAGGGAAAAAATTATGTAGGTCAGAAATTCAGATCAACATAAATAAAGGAAGAGCACCAGAAAATGCATAAGTAAAGGTAAAATACTAACTTTTCTTTTCCTTAGTTGATCTAACAGAAAACAATAATAATAATAGCAATAGTGTATTCAATTATGTACACATATATGTGTGTATATATATATATATACATACACATATATATGCATGCTTATGCATATGTGAAATGAATGTAACAATACTATAAGGACAGAAGGGAGAAGCTAGTAATATTTTGTTATTATAAGGTACTTGGCTTACCTACGTGGTGATATGGTGTTATTTGAAAGCAGGTTTGGATTAATTGTAAATTTATGTTGCAAAATTCTAAGGTAACAACTAAAAAAGTACAAAGAAAAAAAGTATAATTAACATGCTAAGAAATGAGAGAAAATAAAATCAGAAAATATTCAAACTGTAAAATATATAATGTGATCTAATTTGTCCATTTTTACTATGGTTGGCTGTGGTTTTGAGGTCTTATTCAAGAAATCCTTCCCCACACCAATATCCTGAAATGGTTCCCCGATGTTTCATAGTTTCAGGTATTAGATGTAAGTCTTTAATTCATTTTGATTTTGTTTTTGTGTAAGGTGAGATAGCAGTCTAGTTTCATTCTCCAGCATATAGATATCCAGTTTTCCCCGAGCTATTTGTTGAATAAACTGTCCTTTCTCCAATGCATGTTTTTAATACCTCGGTCAAAAGTGAGTTGAATGAAAATGTGTGGATTTATTTCTGAGTTCTCTATTCTGTTCTATTGGTCTATGTGTCTGTATGCCAGTACTACAATGTTTCAATTGCTATAACTTTGTAGTATAATTTGAAGTTTAGTAATGTGATGACTTCAGCTTTGTTCTTTTAGCTCAGGGTTGCCTTAGCTATTCAGGGCTTTTTCTGATTCCATATACATTTTAGTCTTATATTTTCTATTTCTGTGAAGAATGTCATTGGTATTTTGATAAGGATTGCGTTGAATCTATACATTGCCTTGGGTAGAATGGACATTTTAATAACATTGATTCTTTGATTCATCATCATGGAATATCTTTTCACTTTTTTGGTGTCTTCTTCCATCTCTTTTAGTGATGTTTTATAGTTTTCATTGTAGAGATCTTTCAATTTTTGGTTAAGTTTATTACTGTGTATTTTATTTTGTTTGTGGCTATTGTAAATGGTATTACTTTCACAGTTTCTATTTCAGACTGTTTGCTGTTGGCATACAGAAATGCTATTCTTTTTTGTATGTTGATTTTGTATGCTGCAACTTTACTGAATTTGTTTATTGGTTTGAATGGTTTTGTTTGTGGAATCTTTAGGTTTTTCTGAAATTAAGATTATATAATCTGCAAACAAGAATAATTTGACTTCTTCCATTCCAATTTGGATGCCATTTATTTCTTTCCTTTATGTAATCTCTCTGGCTAGGACTTCCTGTATTATGTTACATAAAAGGGTGAAAGTGGGCATCCTCATCTTGTTTCAGCCAGGCACACTGCCTCATGCCTCTAATCCCAGCACTTTGGGAGGCCAAGGTGGGTGGATCACCTGAGGTCAGGAGTTCGAGACTAGCCTAGCCAACATGGTGAAACCCCGTCTCTATTAAAAATACAAAAATTAGCCGGGTATGGTGGCGCATACCTGTAATCCCAGCTACTCGAGAGGCTGAAGCAGGAGACTCACTTGAACCAGGTAGGCTGAAGCTGCAGTGAGCCAAGATCATGCCACTGCACTGTAGCCTGGGTGACACAGCAAGACTCTGTCTCAAAAAATAAAAAATAAAAAATAAAGAAATAAAAAGGAAAGGCTTTCTGTTGTTCTCCTTCAGTATGATACCAGCTATAAGTTTGTCATATACAGTTATTATTGTCTTGAGGTATGTTTCTTTAATACTCAGTTTTTTGAGAGTTTCTATCATGACGGGATATTGAATTTTATCAAATACTTTTTGGCATCTATTGAAATGATCATACGGTTTTTAATCCTTCTCATCAAGCTACAAAGCTTCTGGATAGCAAAGAGAATATTCAACAAAATGAAGAGGCAAACCACAGGATGTGAGAAAATATTTACAAACTACCCATCTGACAGGAGATTAATAACCTGAATATAAGGAGCTCAAACAACTCAATAGCAAAAAGTCAAATAATCTCATTTAAAATGGAAAAAATATCAGAATAGGCATTCTTAAAATGAGGCATACAAATGGCCAACAGATAAATGGAAAAATGCTCAACATCACTAATTGTCAGAGAAGTGCAAAACAAAACTAAAATGAGACATCATCTCACTCCAGTTAAAATGGCTTTTATCAAAAGACAGGCAAAGCTGGCATGTTTGAAGAAAAGGGAGCCCTCATACACTGCTGGTGATAATATAAATTAGTACTGCCAGTATGGAAGACAATTTGGAGATTCCTCAAAAAACTAAAGGTAGAACTACCATATAATCCACCGTCACAATAGCCAGTCTATGGAATTAACCTAAGTGTCCAGCAGTGGGTTAATGAATAAAGCAAATGTAGATATACAAAATGGAATTATTCAGACATGAAATGAATGAAATCTTATCATTTGTAGCAACATGGATGGGACCAATTATTATGTTAAATGAAATAAACCAAGCATGGAAAGACAAATATCACATGTTGTCACTCGTATTGAAAGCTAAAAAAGTTTATCTCATGGAGTTAAAGTAGAATGATGGTTACCACAGGCTGGGAAGAGTAGTAGGTGGGAGAGTGATAAAAGGCTATATTTCATGGGTAAAAAAAAAAAAAATTATATTGAAGGAATAAAACCTAGTATTTGGTAGTAAAATAGGACTACTGTAGCTAACAATAACTTTTATTTCAAAATAACAAAAAGAGTAGAATTGGAACACTCCTAACACCAACAAATGATAAATGCTTGAGTTGATGGATATCCCAATTACTCTGATTTAGGCAGTGCACATTTTATGCTCGGATCAAAATTTCACAGCTACCCCATAAATTTGTGCAACTATTATGTATTTATAATAATTAAAAATAAAAAAAATTAAATAATAAAACTATAAAAAAGAGAAAAAGTGTAAAAACAAAAATAGACAAAATGAAAAGGAAAACAAACAGAAAACATGAACAAATATGGTAGAAATTAATTGAACCATATCAATATTAATCTGAAATATCAAGTCTAAATACACTAATGAAAAGACAAGATTGAGTATATCAAACAAGAAGACTCAACTATATGCCATCTATTAGAAACCCACTTTGAATATAAAGACACGTACACATTGAAAGTAAATGAGTAAAGGAAAATATACCTTGCTAGCACTAAAAAAGCAAAGTATCTGTTAATTTTAATATCGATGTTAAATTTAGAGCAGACTTCAGAGCAAGTAAAGTTATCAGAGATAAACAGAGACATTATATATTGATAATGGAGGTAATACACCAAGAAGATATAACAACCCTTAAAGTACATGTGTTTAACAAGAAAGTGTCAAAATAGATGAGACAAAAACCAAAAACTGACAGAGTTGCAAGAAAAAATAAATGAGTCCACTATTATAATTGGAGATCCCATTCAGAAATGAATAGATTCAGCAGTCAAAAACTCAGTAAGAACACAGTTGAACTCAATAACTGGAATTCAATAACTCATCCATCAACTGGAAATATGTGGCATCTATTGATTACTCCATTGAACAACAGCAGAATGCACATTCTTCTCAAGCTCACATGGAATATTCACCAGTTTAGATTGTATTATGTTATGTAAGTCACACCTTAATAAATTTAAAAGAATAAATCTATCCTATGTCTGCTCTCAGATCATGATGGAATCTATAATGGAAATCAATTTAGAAATCAACAGAAAGATGGCTGGAAAATTCTAAAATACTTAGAGATTAAACAACACACTTCTAATAACACATGAGTCAAAGAAGAAATCTTAAGAGAAACTAAAAAATAAGTTGAACTAAATGAAAATAATAATAAAACTCATCATAATTTGTGAGATGTAATGAAAGCAGTGCTTATGGGGAAATTTATGCCACTGAATGCATATATTAGAAATAATCATCTAAAATCAGTTATCTAATTTTTCCCCTTAGGAAACTAGAAAAGCAGAGCAAATTAAATACAAAGTAGGAAGAAGAGAAGAGTTAGTAAAAATTAGAGCAGAAATCAATGAAATTAAACAAGAAATCAATACAGAGTATCAACAAAACCCAAAAGCTGATTCTATAAAAAGACCAGTTAAGTCAATGAGCCTCTTGCCCCAGCAAGCCTAACTAAGCCAAAAAGAGAAACACAAATTACTAATATCAGAAATGAAAGAGGGGACATCACTACCTGCTTATGAACATTAAAAGGATAACAAAAGAACATTCTGAACAACTGTGTGCCCACAAATCTGATATCTCAGATAAAACAAACGAATTCCTTGAATGACATAATTTGCCAAAACTCACAAAAGAAAGAATAGAAAATATGAATTTGTTTGTATCTATTAAAGACATTGCATCAGTAATCAATAACCTTCCAAAACAGAAAGTACCAGGTCTAGATGGGTGCACTGGTGAATTCAACAAGACATTTAAGAAACAAATTATATCAATTCTCTACAGTCTCTTTCAGAAAACAGATGAAGAGGAAATATTGAATAACTCATTCTGTAAAATCAGCATTACCCTAATACCAAAACCTGCCAAAGACATTACAAGAAAGTAAAACTACAAACCAATCTTTTTTATTAATAGACACAGAAATCCTCAACAAAATATTATCAAATTAAAACCAACAATATAGAAAAAGAATTATACACCTTGACAAAGTGCAATTTATCCCAGTATGCAAAGCTCATTCAAATTTCAAACATCAATGTAAACCATCATATCAATGCACTAACTAGAAAAAAATCACATGATCTTATCAATAGGTTTCAAAAAAACCATTTGACAAAATTTCACATTTCATTCGTAATTAAAACTCTCACTGTACCAGAGATATATCAGAACTTTTTCAATTTGATAAAGAACACCTACAAAAATCTTACAGCTAATACCATATTTAATGCTGAGAAACTAGAAGCTTTTCCACTAAGATCAGGAACAAAGTGGCAAGGGTATCTCCTCTCATCATTCCTTTTTAACATAATATTGGAAGTCCTAGCTAGTGCAATAAGACAAGAAAAATAAATAAATAAATATATAGATTGGAATGGAAAAAATAAAACAGTATTTGTTTGAAGATGGCATGGTCATCTAACTAGAAAATCTGAAAGAATTTACAAAGAAAGCTTTTGAAACTAATAAGTTATCCTAACAAGGTTGCAGTATATAATGTTAACATAAGAAAGCCAATTGCTCTCTTACATACAACAATGAACAAGCGGGATTTGAAATTAGAAGCATAATAATATTTACTCAGCATCCCCCTCCAAAAATGGATTACTTAGATATAAATCTGACAAAATATGTTCAAGACCTATATGAGAAAAACTATAAAACTCTGATTCACGCCTGTAATCCCAGCACTTTGGGAGGCCGAGGCGGGTGGATCACGAGGTCAGGAGATTGAGACCATCCTGGCTAACACAGTGAAACCCCGGCTCTACTAAAAATACAAAAATTAGCTGGGCGTGTTGGTGGGTGCCTGTAGTCCCAGCCACTCAGGAGGCTGAGACAGAAGAATGGCGTGAACCCGGGAGGCGGAGCTTGCAGTGAGCCGAGATCACGTCACTGCACTGCAGCCTGGGCGACAGAGCGAGACTGTATCTCAAAAAAACAAAAACAAAAACAAAAACAAACTCTGATAAAAGATATCAAAGAAGAGCTAAATGGAGATATTTCATGTTCATAGATAGGAAGACTCAATATTGTCAAGATATCAGTTATTTCTAACATTATCTATAGGTTCAATGTAATCATAATCAAAATCCTGGCATGTTATTCTTTGAATATCAACAAACTGATTTTAAAGCGTATATAGAGAGTGAAAAGATTTAGCATAGTCAATGCAGTATTGAAAGAGAATAACTAAATTAAAAAACTGACAATTATAAACCTTCTATTAAAAAGGGAGATGCATAAGGAAACTTTTCAAGGTTACTTTGATAGTGGTGATGGTTTTATAGCTATATGCATACATTCAAACTCACACAATGTATGCAATGAATCAATTCATAATGCCAAACTCATTTAGATTTTATTATATTCACTACAGATGTACAGATTGTGAGTATTATACTTCAAAACATGGTTAAACACAGGCCTTATTATAAAGAAACAGTAATCAAGACAATGTGGTATTGGTGAAAAAATAGACTAATTGATCAACTAATTGCTGAATAGACTAACAATAGGAGCTCAGAAATAGACTGAAATAAATCCAGTCAACTGGTCTTTGACAAAGGAGCAAAGGCAATATTATGAAGCAATTAGTCTTCTCAATAAATGGTGCTTGAAAAACTGGACATCTATATACAAAGAAATCTACACACAGACATTAATCCTTCAAAAATATTAACTCAAAATGGATTATAGACATAAATGTAAAATGCAAAACTATACCTATGTGGTGTTCAGTAAGATGACTTTCTAGGTAAAACACCAAAGGCTCCATCCATTTAAATAAATAATTTAAAAACTGAACTTAATTAACAACTTCCGCTCTGTGAAAGACAATGTCAGGAGAAAAAGAAGACAATCTACAGACTGAGAGAAAATATATGCATAAGACACACCTGATAAAGAACTTTTATCCAAAATATGCAAAAACTCCTAAAACTCAGCAATAAGAAAATGAACAACCTAGTTTCAAAGCGAGTAAAAGACTTGAATGTCTGTTCACCCCATCAAAGACGGCAAATAAGCATTTGAAAAGATGTTTAACATTGTGTTATTAGGAAATTGCAAATTAAAACAAAAATAAGATTCTACTACATACATACCTGAACGGCCAAAATCCAAAACATCGATAATACCATATGCTGGTGAGGATGTAAAGAGACTCTCTCATTCAATGCTGGTGAGAATGCAAATAGTACAACCACTTCGAAAGACACTTTGATAGTTTCTTATAAAGCTAAACATACTTATACTATGTAATCTAGCAATTGTACTCCTTGGTATTTATCCAAATAAATTGAAAACTTTTGCCAACAGAAGTTCCTGCACAGGGATGTTTATAGTTGCTTTATTTATAGCTGCCAAAACTTGGAATCAACCAAGTTGTCCTCTAATAGGTGATTGGATAAATAAACTATGGTACAACCAGACAATGGAATATTGTTCAATACTAAAAAACATCGAAAAGTTTTTCTCTATGAAAATACATGGAGAAAACATAAATGCGTGTTACTAAGTGAAATATGCCCATCTGAAAAGGCTACTATATGCATACTGTATAATTCTAACTATATGACATTCCAGAAAATGCAAAACTATGGAGGCTAAAAATATCAGTGGTTGCTGGGGTATGGGGAGAAGGAGGGATGAATAGGCAGAGCACAAGTAATTTTAAGGCAGTGAAACTATTCTGTATGATATTATGACAGCAGATATTTGTCAATAAGCATTTGTCAATACCCATAGAATGTACAATATCATGATTGAATGCTAATGTAAACTAGGTAATTTAGGTGATAATGATGTCTCAGTGCAACTTCACAGAGTGTAACAAATGTACGACTATGGTGGAAGTTGTTGACAGTGGAAGAAGTTGTGCATGTGTGGGGACAGGGTGTATGTGGGAAATCTCTGTACTTCTGCTCAATTTTGCTGTGAATCTACAACTTCTCTAAAAATAAAGTTTTTATTAAAAGTTAAAAACAACATCAATATTATATAGTGCTGAATAAACACAAAAGTAAAACTGGAGAAATCTGAATAAGATGACCAGTTTGTATCAATGTCAGTATTGTAGTTGCAGAATTACACTACAGTTTTGCAAAATGTTATCAGTAGGGGAAACTGAGTGAAGTGTAGAGGAGAATCTATATTGACTTTTACAACTGCATCTGAATATACATCTATCTGAATGCAAAGTTCAATTTAAAAAATAAGGTTATGTCTGCTACCGGAGTAGGTAGCCAGATCGAGAGTTTTATTCTAAAAATACAATGAAGAAAATGTCATGAGAATCAATGAGGGTATCTACACTTCTTGAATGCTCACTACTTAATTGAGTAGTGGAGCAGAAAAAGAAAATGACTAGATTTGAAAACTGGATGGTAGGGAGAATCACAGCAGCCACAGCAGGGCTAAGAAACCCATGAAAAGCAAAAGCACTTGATATTTTAACATCAAGTTGGAAGTGATTTTTAAAAAATAGAAAGAAAAAAATGTGCTTAAAGTTTAGGAAAAGAGGTCAGGATTACAGATGTAGATTTGTACATCTATAAGTTCCATGCATTGAGATAATTCAAAACATGGCAGTGGTCAAGTTGCTTACAGAAAAAAAAAATGAAAGAAAAAGGCAAAAATTATCCTGTGACCAAAATATAGAAGAATGCCTATGTTTAGTTCTTAGGCAAGGCATACAGTGAACAAATAAATGAAATCAAGTAGAAAGGTAGAACATTTTTAAAAATGGATGATTACAGAGAATCAAATGCCAATCCAAATTTTGTATTGAATAACTGAGGAAGTTTTGAAATGTTGAAGTTGTTGCTGTCCTCCAAGAAAACAATCTTAGTTTAATTTATAGATCATGGTAAGGAAAGGAAGATAGTTGGTAAATCCAATGGCTCTAAGAAGTTTGGGGAACAAGATAGCCAACTGGCATACAATGCTGACTTCTTATACCTGGAAATCTTAAGCAATAGGAGAGTGATGGTTCCCAGAGGCTGGCTCATTAACAGAAACATTATTCATATCCTGTAGAGAGACAATGGTGATTGAATAATGATTGTATATGTGTGGGAAATGGTAAAAAAACAAAACAAAACAAAACCTGTAAAGGATGAAGGGAAAGGTTTCATGTTGGGCCTTTTTGTTTCCTTGTCATAGCCCTGTATATAATTTCGCTACTTAGGGCTAATTTGACTGTATCAAAAAAATCTGTTTAATTAAGGATGCCATAGACAAAAAATTAGAGATAGACTGGTTAAATATATTGAAACATCTAAAGTCAACAAGGGATGAACACATATATTATACATGGAACTCCTTTAAATTGATGAGAAAACTCATGTAAAACAGGTAAAGAAATAGACAATTCAAAGTAAGAAAAATCTCAAAGACCAATACATATACGTGCATATGCAACCTCAGTAATAGCCAGAAAAAAAAAAGAAAAAAGTAAATTACACAAAGAGATACAAGTTTACTTATCACTGACAACATTGGATAGCTGGATATTAGTAAATGTGTTAATTATATGGAAAACAAGAAACCTGGCTGGGCACGGTGGCTCACGCCTGTAATCCCAGCAATTTGGGAGGCCATACAGGTGGATCACTTGAGGTCAGGGGTTCAAGACCAACCTGACCAACATGGCAAAACCCCGTCTTCTACTAAAGATACAAAAAAAGTAGCCAGGCGTGGTGGTGCACTTCTGTAATCCCAGCTAGTGGGGACGTTGAGGCAGGAGAATTGCTTGAATCCAGGAGGTGGAGGTTGCAGTGAGCTAAGATCGCACCACTGCACTCCAGGTTGAGTGACAGAGCAAGACTTCATCTCAAAAAAAAGAAAAAAAAAGAAACCCTCAAGCAATGATGGAATATATACTGATGTAATCATTCCAGAAAGCATTACAATTAAGTTATCATTTCTCCTTTGATTCAGCAATTTCCCTATTGGACTAAACTTGCTAGGGAACCTAACCGATATTTACAGTGACCACTAACAGGATGGTCACTGTAGCTTGTGCATAGTAGCAAAGCACTGAAAATAACTTGGGTACTATTGTTTATATATAAATTAAGTTACCTGCACAAGAAGGAATTCTATGCAGTGGAGGAAGTGAATTGGTTTATATACTTACCCAAGATGTGGTAGATCAAAAGCTGATGAGAGGATAGATGAATGCCCAGAACATAACACTTAGGGGAAAAAAAGTGTAAGCAACATAAGATTAATAACCCTAAATTATTTGTAAGAATTTCAAAGATAGAAATATACACAAAATAGTACATTTGTCAAGGATTTATATATTTTTATATATAGAATTATGAAAGAAGAGTTGAAAGAACATATTCTACAAGAAAACATACAGAAAAAAATTAAACAGAAACACCTTGCAGTGGAAATGAAAATTCTATGCTGGAAGATGGCCAACTAGAAGCAGTTAGTGTGTGCCACTCTCATGGAAAGAAATAGAAGGGGAAAGTAACCTTTAACTGAAACACCTAGGTACATGCATTGGGATTCATTAAGAAAAGAACTTGACCTGCAGAGGATGGAACAAGGCAAGGTAGGATGACCGCCCACTCGGAGTCGCATGGAGCCAGAGGAGCCTCCCCACCCAGGGAAGCAGTGAGTAAGTGAGCAACCCTGGGGATCCATGCTTCTCCCATGGATCTTTGCAACTCTTGGGTCAGGAGATTCCCTCATAAACCCAGTCCACCAAGGCCTTCATTCTAACAGGCCAAGCTATGTGGAGTCTTGGCAGAGCAGCTGCTCAGGCACATGTGGAGCCCCAGAAGCTTTAGATACCCAGGGTTCCTGGCAAAAGTGGCTGCAACTCCAGCAAAATGGGAGGTAAGACCCCCATACATACCCCTAGAGAAGAGGCTGAATCTAGGGGACTGAGCAGCCACAGTCTGCAGGCCTTGCTTCCATGGCATCTTGCAGGATAAGACCCTGTGGCTTGGAACTCCAGCTAGCCATGAGTAGCAACATTACATTTCCCTGAGACACAGATCCCAGAGGGAGGGGCAGTCTGCCCACTTGGCTATTTTGCAGCTTTAGTCATTGATGCCTTCAGGTTCTGAGGAATTCAAGGTGTCTAGGAACTGGAGTGGTCCCCCAGCACAGCACAGTAGCTCTATGAAGAGGCAGCCAGACTGCTTTTTCATACAGACCCTGGAACCCATTTCTCTTCACTGAGTGGAATCCCACAACCAAGGTCTACAACCACCCCCACAGGTGTTTTCCAGCTAGCAGCAATTCCAAACCTACCTGGGATGGAGCTCCCAAAGGGAAGGGAGGGTCATCATCTTTTCTGTTTTGCAGCTTTAGCCACTGTCACCTTCAGGCTTTGGAGAGTCTAAGGTGACTGGGGGCTGGAGCAGACCCCCCAGCACAGCACGGCTGCTGTACGGAAAAGTGCCAGAGTGCTCTATAAAGTAGGTCCCTCATCCCCTTCCTTCCCACTGGGTGGGAGCTCCCTACCGAGGTTTCCAGCCACCACTGCCAGTGTGTTCAGGCTGGCAACAGATCTGTATCTCCCTGGGGTGGAGCTCCCAGATGGAGGGGCAGGCCACCATCTTTGCTGTTTTGCAGCCTTCACTGAAGATGCCTTCAGGTACTAGAAAATCTGAGGTAACTAGGGACTAGAGTGGATTGCCAGCATACTGCAGCAGCCCTGTGAAAAAGCAGCCTGACTGCTTGTTACATGGGTCCCTGATCCCATATCTCCTCCCTGGGTTGGTCTTCCCAACCTGGGTCTTCTGCCACCTCCACCTGGAACTATCAAGCCAGTAGCAACTCTGCAACTTCCTGGGACAGAGTACCCAGTAGGAGGAGCAGGTTGCCCTCTTTGCTTTCTCACAGCCCTTGCCCTTGCTGTCTCCAGGCTCTGGAGAGTACCCAGGATTATGGACTGGTCAAGACCCCCAGGACAGAGCACCCATTTCATAGAAAAGTAGCTGGACTGTTCTCCATGCATGCCCCCATCCTCACTTCTCCTCACTGAGCAGGGCTGCCTGACCTGAGACTTCAGCACAACCACGCTGCTGCTGCCTGACTACTTCGACAGCCTAGCAGTTGGAGCAATAGCCACATGCAGAGATGAGAAAGAACCAACGCAAGAACTCCAACAATTCAAAAGGCCAGTGTCCTGTATCCTCCAAATCACCACATTAGTTCTTTAACAAAGGTTCTTAACCAGACTGACTTGGCTAAAATGACAGAAATAGAATTCAGAATATGGATTGGAACGAAGATCAGTGAGATTCAGGAGAACAGCAAAAACCAATCCAAGGAAATTAAGAATCACAATAAAATGATACTGGAGCTGACAGATGAAATAGCTGTTAAAAAAGAAGAATTTCCCTGGTCCGATAGACCTGAAAAACACACTACAAGGATTTCACAATGCAATCACAAGTATTGACAGCAGAATAGACCAAGCTGAGGAAAAAATCTTGGAACTTGAAGCCTCGTTCTCTGAAATAAGACAGCCAAACAAAAATAAAGAATGAAAAGGAATGAACAAAACCTTGGAAAAACATGGGATTATGTAAGGAGTCCAAATTCATGAATCACTGGCATCTCAGAAAGGGAGAGGGAGAAAGCAAATAACTTGAAAAACATATTTCAGTATAGAGTCCGTGAAAAATTCCCCAACCATGCTAGAGTGGCTAAGAGTCAAACTCAGGAAATAGAGAGAACCCTTGCAAGATTCCACACAAGAAGATCATCCTCAAGGCACATAGTAATCAAGTTTTACAAGGTTGAAATGAAAGAAAGAATGTTAAAGACAGCTAGAGAGAAAGGGGAGGTCACCTACAAAGGGAATCCCATCAGGCTAACAGTGGGCATCTCAGTAGAAGCCCTACAAGCCAGAAGAGAATGGAGGCCTATATTCAATATTCTTAAAGAAAAAATCTTCAACCAAAAATTTCATATCTAGCCAAAATAAGCTTCCTAAGTGAAGGAGAAATAAGATCCTTTCCAGATAAGCAAATACTAAGGGAGTTTGTTATCATCAGACCTGCTTTACGAGAGATATTGAAAGGAGCACTAAGTATGGAAGGAAAGAAAGTTACCAACCACTACAAAAACACATGTAAGTACACAGAGCAGTGATACAATAAACAAACCTCACAAACAAGCTGGCATAATAACCAGCTAACACCACAGTGACAGGTTCAAATCCACACACATCAATACTATTCTTGAAAGTAAATGTGCTAAATGCCCCATTTAAAAGGCATTTAGTACAATACTAATCTGTGGCAAGCTGGATAAAAACAGCAAGACCCAATGGTATGCTATCTTCGAGAGTCCCATTTCACACACAATGACATCCATAGGCTCAAAATAAAGGGATGGAGGAAAATCTACCAAGAAAATAGAAATCAGAAAAAAGCAGGGGTTCCAATCCTAACTTCAGACAAAACAGACTTTAAACCAACAAAGATCAAAAAAGACAAAGAAGGGCATTACATAATGGTAAGGAGTTAAATTCAGTAAGAAGACTTAACTATCCTAAATATAGATACACCCAACACAAGAGCACTCAGATTCATAAAGTACGTTCTTAGAGACCTACCAACAGACTTCAACTCTCACACAATAATAGTGAGAGACTTCAATGCCCCACTGACTATATTAGTCAGAACACTGAGGCAGAAAATTAACAAAGATATTCAGGACCTGAACTCAACATTGAACCAAATGGGTCTGATAGATGTATACAGAACTATCCTCCCCCAAACAACACAATATGCATTATTCTTCCCATCACCATGTGGTACATATTCTAAAATCACCACACAATTAGATATAAAACAATTATCAGCAGATGCAAAAGAACAGAAGTCATACCAAACACATTCTCGCACCACAGCACAATAAAAACAGAAATCAAGACCGAAAAAAAATCACTCAACACAATGCAACTATGTGGAAATTAAACAACCTGCTCCTGAATGACTTTCGGGTAGATAATGAAATTAAGGCAGAAATCAAGAAGTTCTTTGAAACTAATCAGAACAAAGAGACAACATACCAGGATCTCGGGGACACAGCTAAGGCACTGTTTAGAAGGAAACTTATAGAACTACATGCCCACATCAAAAAGTTAGAAAGATTTCAAATTAACAACTTAATATCAAAACTAGAAGAACTGGAGAAGCAAGAACAATCCAATCCCAAAGCTGGCAGAGGCAAAAATTAACTAAAATCAGCACTGAACTGAAGGAAATCAAGACACCAAAAAACATTCAAAAGATCAATGAATCCAGGAATTGGCATTTTGAAAAAATTATTAAGATAGATTGCTAGCTAGAGTGATACGGAAGAGAAGAGAGAAGATCCAAATAAACACAATCAGTAATGACAAAGGGGATATTACCACTGAACCCACAGAAATACAAATAACTATCAGAGACTACTATGCACACCAACAAGAAAACCTAGAATAGATGGATAAATTCCTGGACACATATACCCTTCCAATACTCAGTCAAGAAGAATTTGATTCCCTGAACAGACCAATAATGAGATTTGAAATTGAATCACTAATAAATAGCCTACCAACCAAAAGAAGCCAAGAACCAGACAGATTCACAGTCAAATTCTACCAGATATACAAAGAAGAGCCTACTACAAAGTACCATTCCTTTTGAAACTATTCCCAAAAATTGAGGAGGAGGGACTTCTCCCCAACTTATTCTATGAGACTAGCCTCATCCTGATACCAAAACCTGGCAGAGACACAACAAAGAAAATTTCAGGCCTTTATGAACATTAATGTAAAAATCTTCAACAAAATACTGGCAAACCAAATTCAGCAGCAAATCAGAAAACTTATCCACCACGATCAAGTAGGCTTTATTTCTGGGTTATAAGGTTGGTTCAAAATAAGCAAATCAATAAATGTGATTCATCACATAAACAGAACTAAAGACAAAAACCACACAATCATCCCCATAGATGCAGAAACGACTTTCAATAAAATTCCACACCTCTTTATGTTAAAAAAAAAAAAACTCAATAAACTAGGCATTGAAGGGACGTGCCTTGAAATAATAAGAGCTATTTAAGACAAACCTACAGTCGGCATCAACTGAATGGGCAAAAGCTGGAAGCATTTCCTTTAAAAACTGGCACAAGACAAGGATGCCCTCTCTCATCACTCCTATTCAATATAGTTTTGGAAGTTCTGGCTGGAGTAATCAGGCAAACAGAAGAAATAAAGGGCATCCAAATAGAGAGAGAAGTCAAACTATCCCTGTTTGCAGATGACATGATTCTATATCTAGAAAACCCCATAGTCGTGGCTCAAAAGCTCCTTAAACTGATAAACAACTTTAGCAAAGTTATAGGATACAAAATCACCATAGAAAAATCAGCATTCTTATACCCCAACAACAGCCAAGCTGAGAGCCAAATCAGGAACACAATCCCATTCACAGCTACCACACACACACACAAAAAAAATATCTAGGAATACAACGAATCGGGTGAAAGATCTCTACAATGAGAATTAAAATACACTGCTTAAAGAAGTCAGAGATGACACAAACAAATGGAAAAATATTCCATGTACATGATAGGAAGAATCAATATCTTTAAAATGGCCATAGTGCCCAATGCAATTTAGAGATTCACTGCTATTCCTATCAAACTACCAATGACATTCTTCACAAAATTAGAAAAAAAAATCTATTTTAAAATTTATATGGAACCAAAAAAGAGCCCAAATAGCCAAGGCAATCCTGAGCAAAATGAACAAAGCTGGAGGCATTATGTTACCTGACTTCAAACTATTCTACAGGGCTACAGTAACCAAAACAGCATGGTACTGGTACAAAAACATACACATAGACCAGTGGAACAGAACAGAGAGCCCAGAAATAATGCCACACACCTACAACCATCTGACCTTTGACAAAGCTGAAAAAACCAAGCAATGGGGAAAGGACTCCTATTTAATTAATGGTGCTGGGATAACTGGCTAGCCATATGCAGAAGATTGAAACTGGATCCCTTGCTTACACCATATATAAAAATCAACTCAAGATGGATTAAAGACTTAAATGTAAAAACCAAAATTATAAAAACCCTGGAAGACAACCTAGGTAATACCATTCTGAAGATAGGAACTGGCAAATATTTCATTATGAAAATGCCCAAAGTAATTGCATCAAAAGCAAAAATTGACAAATGGTGTCTAATTAAACTAAAGAGCTTCTACAGAGCAAAATAAACTATCAACAGAGTAAACGACAACCTACAGAATGGGAGAAAAATTTTGCAAATTATGTAGACAAAAGTCTAATATCTAGCCTCTATAAAGAACTTAAACAAATTTATAAGAAAAAAACCCATTAAAAAGTGGATAAAGGGCATGAATGGACACTCTTAAAAAGAAGATGTACATGTAGCCAACAAGGATATGGAAAAAAACTCCATATCACAGATCAATAGAGAAATGCAAATCAAAACCAACATGAGATACCATCTCAAACCAGAGTGGCTATTACTAAAAAGTCAAAAAATAACAGATGCTTGTAAGGTTGTGAAGAAGAGGAACACTTACATATGGTTGGTGGAAGTGTAAGTTAGTTCAACCACTGTGGAAAGCAGTGAGGCAGTTCCTCAAAGAGCTAAAAACAGAACTATCATTCAACCCAGCAATCCCATTACTTGGTGTATACCCAAAGTGATATAAATTATTCTACCATAAATACACATGCTTGTGTATGTTCATTGTAGCACTGTTCACAATATCAAAGTCATAGAATCAACTTAAATGCCCATTGATGGTAGACTGGATAAAGAAAATGTGGTACATAAACACCATGGAATACTATGCAGCCATTAAAAGAATAAGTTAATGTCCTTTGCTGGAACATGGATGGAGCTGGAGGCCATTATCCTAAACAAACTAATGCAAGAACAGAAAAACAAATACCGTGTGTTCTCACTTCTAAGTGGGAGCCAAATGATGAGAACACATGGACACAGAGAGGAACAACAGATACTGGGGCCTACTTGAAGATGGAGGGTGGGAGGAGGGAGAGGAAGAGAAAAAAACAACTGTTAGGTACTAGGATTAGTACGTGGGTGACTAAATAATCTGTACAACAACCCCCATGAGTTTACCTGTGTAACAAACCTATACATGTATTCCTGAACCTAAAATAAAAGTTAAAAAAAGAAAAAAAAATCTACACTAGAACTTCAATTCTGAGCACTTGAGATCCTTAAAAACAAAAAGGAAATAAACAAGCAAGTGTGTTTTTTGGAAATGTCAGCAGGTTTAGTGGTAGTACAATTTAATCAAGATAGTGAGAAGGAGAGACTTGAGATTGTTTCTAATTCACAAGGAAGGAACAAGGAGAAAAGGAGAGTTGAAGTACAAAGAAAACAGGGTGCTTATTTTGGAACAGTATTCTGAAGGAAGGTAGAAGGAAATGGGATTTGGAGATTCAGGTTAAATGAATATCTTTGGTAAGTAGAAAGATCCCATTTTCTTCAGCAGGAGCGAAGGAATAGAGAAGGAATGAACAGACAGAGATATTTTAAGGCAAATGTGGGGTGGTGAGAGCAGCTTTCTTTCTCTTCTTTTTTTTTTTTTAGTGTATTTCTCAATTTAGCACAGAAATGTATAGTCTTGTCTTATTTTCAAAATCATCACATGTGTATTATTCTTGGATCCTTAACTATATTGAGAGCACCTTACATTTCCTCAGAGATTATGAGAAAAATGAATTTTAGATCAAGAAGGGTCTTAAGAAGCATGTAATTAGCATTGATTATACCTGTATTATGTGATAAGCACTGTTTAAAGGGTGTACAGGCATTTCTCTAGACAAATCCTTCTTTTCCTTTTTTTTCCCCCAACGGATGATTAAATGAAGATCCAAAGAGGCTACCTGGAGGAAGTCACACACAGTAGCTAATGACAGTGTTGGGGATAAGAATCCAGATGTCTTCATTTCCAGGTCTTGGCCTGTTTTCCTCTACCTAAATCCTGCTGCGGATCAGCAGCTTCCAGTGCTGGATGATAAGTAAGCTGAAAGCATGTTCCCTGAGTGAGGATTAACAATAGGCATGTGGCCTCATTTTAAAAATCTTCAACTCACAGGCCTTGTCACAGGTTTGTACCCCAGGCTCTTCTTTTTTCTTTTTGAAAGCTTCAGTCATACAGAGAAGGATAATAAAGCCAATACTCCTCTTGCCGAGGTTTTATGAGTTTCTGTGCTGAAGACAGCATGCCAGAAGCTATTTTGGGCTATACAGTTTAAAATAATGAGAAAACCAACACCAGCAGCTGGGTGAACTGAGCACAATGCAAACAAGTAGCACTGAGCACACACGCACAGTGGGGACCCGCTCCACGGGTTTATAGCTTTTGGGAGCTGCTGCTGCAGTTCTTTTTTCCTGAGAGAACACTGACTACATTGGCGCTTTGCTAGTCTGGAGGTATCCAGTCCCAGCTTTAATGAAAGGCCTCACTGCCAGTAGTTCAGCCAAGAAGGGAACTCCCACTCCTGGGCATCATTTTGCACTGAATGGGTATTAAGCAGTTAATTATGAAACACTGCTTCTATATGGTTGCTATGGAAATCCGTGGGAAGGAAACATTAAATACTGTAGGAAATAATTCGAGAATAATGAGCTGAGAGGGACAGACCATCACCATCTCAATTATTTCCAGAGGGACAGACCATCACCATCTCAATTATTTCCATCATCACATTGTCAGGTGGAAAAAGTAAAAATCTATGGAAATTCTATGCACATTAATTTTCCTTTGTTGGAATTTGAATATTTCTAAAAAGCATAATTCATTCATATGAGGCTTCCACATTTTTTAAAAGAGTATTGGATAAAAATAGCAATAGCAAGGTAGCTAACACTCCAGATTAACTAATTATACTCCCCCCAAAGCAATGAATGTAAATATTTGGTTTACATCTTTAACAATTCAAGAATATACACACTCATAGTTTTCTACTTACATTTTTATTTTTTTCAGAAAATCCTCATTAAAATCCTCATAAATTCCAAAACGTTCATGCGTCAAAGAAGCCGTAATCCTTCAAAATGAAGAAAAGGATTAAGAGAAATAAGTCATTCTGTGACAAAAATAAGCTCTTAAGCTCACGTGTCAGTTTTAACAAAGTTTCATAGCTTGTTGCATTAGCTTCTGTCTTTGGTTATATCATGTCAAGTCAGGGCATGCCATTTGACCCATTAGTTGAAAAGAAATACTTATAAATTTTCTTTGGTCATCAAAGCTGGCAGAAGTGGAATTTAGAATGATGATATTTCCATCGTTCCTGAGCTCAATTGAGCACAATATGGGTCTTGAGTAATAGAGAACAACGGGGCTATAGTCGAAACGCACAGTTAAGCAAGAGTTTTCTGTGAGGTGGTTATGATGCGTGAGTACCAGAGTATTAATTGTCAAATAAAATTTTCAGTAATTCAAAACATAGCTGTCATACAGATATAAAATGAAGATGTGTCAAATAAAATAGAACTCATGAACAAATAAACAGTAAGATGCTAACGCTGGTTAAAAAACCATTGAGTATAGGCATTTGAGAAAAACAAGCATTAGACTATGATCTCTAGGTTAGATTTTTTTTAAAACTTTAGTGTTCTACAGGGTAATAATGAAACCATTACTTTTAAGGTATTTTTCCAATGAACAGAAATACACAAATTAACATACAACTTCACAGTGTCTAGGCCTGAATTAAAAAAAACATATGAATGACATTCACAGGTAAATTACTCTAAATAGTCCTGAGATTTGGAAATGATACACTGTGCTCTTTTTATTTAGAAGTTTTGGATATGTTTTCTTAACAGTTCCTCTATTTTGATAATAAACAACCTCTAAAAATTTTTCTTGATTTCAAAAGAGTCTGGCTCCATTATGTTTGGCCTGACATTTTACACATGTGCAGAAAACATGGTGAATTAATTATACAAGACTCCCTGAGTTTGGAGCACAGAACAAATACTGAAGCTAAAAAATTAACATTTGTGTGGAAATTTCATTTTGGAAATTAAGATTGGGTCTTTTAAATGCCTCTATTATTTGTTCTTCTATCTCAAACCTGAGTGACACACTGTAGAAAGATATTATTGCTAATAAAAAGAATGAAGAATTATCTTTCAATTGGATTAAGCCCTAGTGTTACATTTTCACAATCCTAAAGTTTGTAGAAATAATGATGTATTCTGATCAATAAACCAGTGTCAGAAATTCAAGCAGCTCAGTTTAAACAGAATTACCATTTGTCCTAAGAATCTAATTATTGGGTATGTAACCAAAGGAATATAAATCATTCTACCATAAAGACACATGCACCCATGTGTTCATCACAGCACTATTCGCAATAGCAAAGACATGGAATCAACCTAAATGTCCATCAATGGTAGAGTGGATAAATAAAACGCAGGACATACACAGCGTGGAATACTACACAGACATAAAAAAGAATGAGGTCATGTCCTTTGGAGCAACATGGATGGAGCTAGAGGCCATTATCCTAAGCAAACTAACACAGAAACAGAAAACCAAATATCACATGTTCTCACTTATATGTGGGAGCTAAACAATAAGAACACATGGACACAAAGAGGGGAACAACAAACACTGAGGATTACTTGAAAGTGGAGGGTGGGAGAAGTGGGAGGATCTCCCTTAGTACCCATAGTACCTATTGGGTACTATGCTTATTACCTGAGTAAGGAAATAATCAGTACACCAGACCCCCTAGACATACAGTTTACCTGTATAGCAAACCTACGATTTTACCCCTGAACATAAATAAAAGTTAAAAACAAAAAAAAAAATCTTCCTATCTAAAAATTAAAAAGAAACTTAAGCAGTCTGATTAATTGGCCTCTTCAAAAAATAAAAAACACAAACCCTATTAAAAAATAAAAGGTATGCCTGTTTTATAGCACAAACTAATACTAATAAAGTCACGAAAATTATATACAGCTCTTTATTCACTTTTTAAATCAAAATTATTATGCCAGTCTATTTTGTTCAAAGATTCACCTTAAGTTTATGAATTTGAATTTTTAAGTGAAAATGTTTCTAGATAGTGGTTTCATGAGGATTGTTTTTTCTCAAATGGCTAGCAGATTTAAAGTATTAAAAGTTTGGTTTCATTATTTTCTGAGAATGTTAGATGTATAATATATGTGATTAATTTGAGAGTTTTTATTATCTAGTGTAATAATATCCCCCAGAGGAAAGAAAATATTTTAAATTCACACAAAGAGAGGAAAAGGCTTTTCTCAGTTGCAGACACATCACTTTCTGCTTCAATTCAGCAGGCTCAGCTCCTGGTGAAGGATAACAATGAAGCACAAATCCACGTTTCAAAAGTCTATTCTACTTTTGATTGTTCAAAAGAAAATTTTGCAGTTGATTTGAACTCACACATAGCAAAATGAACAAACAAAAGAAGGCTAACAAACCAGATTTTATGTTGTCTCTGACCTGATAGGATAGATTTCTAGCATCCTGGTGGACATTCTTAATTACAGACATATAAACCCACTCACATATACACACAGGGTGTTCCCTGAACTATGCAATGGTGGCTAATGCTCTACCAGTTTTTGCTTCTGGCTGGGGAGAGAGAACTCAAACCATTAGTTAAATAATGCACAGACAGAGCAACAGCCGTGGCTAAGAAATATAAACAAAGACAGAAAATTAAGAGGCAAAAAGATAAAGTTCTAGTACCACTTGAGATCCTGAGAATCATGAAAACATAGGTTTCAGCTGGAAAAATGACGAATTGCATTTTTCTGACAATGCAGATGATTATCTATGGCAGATGCATCCACTTGGGCATCTTGTAAATAACCTCTAAAAATGTCCACGTTTAATTTTAGAACATAAAAATATGATTCTCATGTAAATATTGAGTACATATATATCAGGGATTTTATGCAACTGATTAATTAATGCAGATGTCAGGAAAAAAGGAGTTTTTAAAGTTTAAACAATCATTTTGGGGAGCTGGCTATTTCTAGGCAGCAATGCTCTTGTGTGGTAGTCTTTTGATTTTAAAGTTTTGGGTATTTCCTAGGGTATTTAAAAGAAACTCAGTTTATATATTTTGAGATAGTATTTGGAGAGCTATATTATGGTTTAAAATAAAAATAACATGCTTGAAAATAAATATAGTTTATATTTAGTTAATAAACATAAGAGTTAAATAAAATGTATTTTAAAGATGCATTTAAAAAACTGACTATAATATGGCCTTCAAGTAAATTCATAAAGAAAAAAACTAAAAAAAATCCCCTGACTAGAAGGAACTCAAACTTAAGCATAATGTTCTTAGAGTAATGTGGACTGCTTGCTGATACTAGCTTTAAAAACCTATACCATTCCTATTTTTATTTTTTATTTTTATACTTTTAGAGATAGGGTCTTGCTCTGTTACCCAGGCTGGAGTGCAGTGGCATGATCATAGCTCATTCTAGCCTAAAACTTCTGGGCTTAAGCAATCCTCCTGCTTCAGCCTCCCAAGTAGCTGGGACTACAGGCACCCACCACCATGTCACACTTATTTTTATTTTTGTAGAGACAGGGCATTGCTATGTTGCCCAGGCTGGTCTCAAACTCCTGGCCTCAAGCAATCCTCCCACCTTGGCCTCCCAAAGTTATGTGATCACAGGCATGAGCCACTACTCCTGGCCCCATTCCTATTTTGATTGCATATTGAGACTTAAGGGCTGAATTCTTTAGCCTTAACTAAAAACAGAATATACATTTCTATTAACCAAAAAAGACAAATTATGTTTTCTATTTTTTTGTCTGATAGATTTAGTTTTTTCAAATACTCAATTCACATGAGTTATACACAATTTATTTTGGTGGCATAAATATTTGCACACCTTATGTACTGCCATTTTAAATTATACGAGTAATACTGTGATTAGTATAATATTAATTCATTTTAAATATTATCATAATATTGATGACTTTTTGCCATTACATATTGATTGTATGATCAACAGAGTCTGCACTTTAACAAGATTCTTGGATGACTCATATGCACATTAAATTCTGAAAAACACTCATGTAAGAAAAATAAGAATTCAGATTCTAATATTGTCCTTGCAATTCAGTAGCTTTGTAATCTTACAACCTGACATAAACTCTTTTTTCATCTATTAAACGGGACAGTAAAGCCTGCCTTTTAAGGCCGTTGTAAGTACTAAATAATTCTGTTACCTATAAATTTCTTGGTAAATTCAAGTCTCTATAAATGTTAGCCATCACAATAATATCATTTTAAAAAGTCAGACTAAAGTTTCCATTGAAAAATCTTAGATCTAAAGCAAGTAATTATAATATTCAGTCTTCTAATCTCTACTACATAAAACAGTTGAGTGGGCACATATATTTTATTTAGGGCAAATTTTCCATTTCTCAATTAATTGTCCCTAGATTAGTGCTTCCAAGTAGTAGTTCCTGATTCAGTAACATTTCAATCCCTGGGAATTTGTTAGAAATGCAAATTATCCAGTCCAGCCCTTACCTAATAATAAGAAACTGTAGGAAGAGGGCCCAGCAATCCGTGTTTAACAAGTTTCCTAGGTGATTCTGATACATACTAAAGTTTGAGAACTAGTGCTCTAGATCAACCTCCAGGAATATTTAACCCAATTAATTTTCTGAGATCATCTAGCGAACACTTTTGGAGCAGACATCCAATCCACGATTACCATGCATCTAAACGTTGCTTAATGCATCTCATTGGCATCAACTTCCATCCCTGGACCTGAGTGCACACCATTTCTCTATAATGGCTAGACTTCCTAATTCTAAACATTTGGCATTTTCAATGAAATGGATTACAGTGATAATTTTTCTAAGAGAAGAATTTTGTTTTTACCTTGCTGGCAACCTCAATAAAGCTGCTTCCATACTTCTTCCTGGAGGGCTTTTGGCTGCTGTGATCCTGTAGCCAGCTATAGGCACATAGTGTCCGGAACACCTAGAGGTATTTTTGCAGCTACAGAATCTTCTCTCTGTTAACTTTCCTGTCCTTGTTCTGTTTACGGCAATGTTCATCCTGACCTTCACAGTGCATCATGTTGCCAGGGGGACTTAGCAACAAAAGCAGCAGAGGAAGTGAAGGGATATATTTAAAAAATGTAGATCTAAACCTAATCTTTGTTTTCTTTTTGGTTAAAATGAATCCATAGATGTTAGTTATTGAAACTGCATGCTTTGTTAATCATAAGTCTGTCTAAAGTCCCTTGACTTAAAAATAAGAAATTATAGGTACTGAACCATATACCCTGTGATAAACGTGGTGAGATTGACTGTCTTGGTCCATTGAGGCTATGATAACAAAATACCACAAACTACATAGCTTATAAATAACCAATAATTTATTTCTCATGATGCTAGAAGCTAGAAAGTCCAAGATAAAGGACTGAGAGGTTGGATATCTGGTGAGGGTTTGTTTTATGATTCATAGAGGCTTTCTTCGTAATGTGTCTTCACAAGTGGCAAGAGGCAAGGTAGTTCTCTGGGGTCACTTTTATAAGGGCACAAATTCTGTTCATGAGGGCTCTGCCCTCATGACTAATCACCTCCCAAAAGCTCCACCTTCTATTACCTTCACATTAGTGATTACCTTTCAACATATGAATTTTAGGAGGATATAAGCACTCATATTATAGCACTGACTACGGAAATAAATTGCAGATTTAATGAGAATCTTCAGATGATAAACGAGATTGCATATTTGGACTCTATAAGTGTCAAGTAAGATATAGATTATCAGGGAATAGAAAGAATTGAATGATTATATGGTTAGTTATCCAGCTAGTTAATGAATTCATTCCCTTTGCAGAAGTGATTAAGGGAACAGTACTCATGAATTGGATTTTTTTCACTGAGAGATAATCCATTAGCTAAATAAAGAAACATCTATACCCTTAATAAGGACTTCAAAGACTTTCATAGTCTAGACTCAGGCTGCCTTGCTGACTTCCTTTCCTACTGTGCTTCGCCTCGCTCATTTTGCTGGTTTTTGAACATATTAAGCACACTCCTCAAGGCCTCTAGTTTGGAATGCTTTTTCCCCACTGTCTTATTCTATGTTATGTTGCTATGACAGAATACCATGGACTGGGTAATGTATAATGATCAGAAATTTATTTGGCTCACAGTTCTAGAGGCTGGGAAGTTTCAGAGCTTGGCTCTGGCATCCTGTAAGGGTCTTTGTACAGTGTAATCCCATGGGGGAAGGAGGAAGAACAAGGGAGGGCAAGAGTGCTCAAAAGCAAACCCGCTCCTGAAAGCTCTTTCCTAAAGGCATAGAGCCCTCTTTAAAGGCCTCACTTCTTAATCCTGTTATGTTGGCAATTAAATATGAACACGAAGTTTGCAGGGGACATTCAAACCATAGAATCCGCTTTGTACATGACTTATGCTCATACTATTCAGTTTTCTGTTCATATTATCTTGTGTTTTGTTTTCATTTCTTTTTCTTATTTTTCCCTTTGGCTCATAGGAGAATGTTTGGATTCCTGTCCCTACCTAATAGCACCCCTGGAATTATCTATTCCTCTTCTTTATTCATATTTATAGCACTAACACTATACAACACATTTTATTTCATTTGTGTCTTTCCTCTTCACTATGGTATATGCTTTAAGAGGGGCAGAAATTTGTTTTTTCTTCTTCATGGCTATAACATCAATATATAGAACAGAGCCTGATGCGTAGGTAGTTGGGTAACATTTGTTAAATAAATGAATGAATAAATAACTTAGTGTTTTTTCAGTTTTGCTTGTGATAAACAGGCTACTTACTGTCTTGTCAGGCAACCAAGTGCAATCTTCAACAATGCACTTTGTCCAAATCTTCTTCAAAAATTAAGTCAAAAATTTCTCTATGGGTAACTTTTCCCATTTGTACTATTTGATAAAGATAGTGCTTAACATCGACTGAGCTCATACTATGTTCTAAACTGTGAACAGTGTGCATCACACTTTTCAGTGTGAAAGAATAATCAGTGAAAAAATCCAATTAATGAATACTGTTCTCTTAATCAGTGTAATGAAGGGAATAAATTCACAATTTAATAATCAAACTCTATGAAATGCACCAAGTTTTTATGGAGCCCTAACAGAGAAAGAGCTCAGTAAATGTTAGCCATGCAGGAGGAATAAAAAAAAAAAATCCTAATTCTTCTTCCATAGGAAAGTCTTTCTAAATTTGGAGATAGTTGTCACAAAATGTTGCGTCTTCTCTCTTCTCTTTAAATGCCTTCAGCTTTTAGAATATTTTCTTCTTCTTTAGTTTTCATGGATGTTCTTCTGTTTGTGCTTCAGTTTATAAATAGCCTCTTTATAATGTATCCCAAGATGGGAAACAATATTCTAGCTACAATTTAGCCTAGTGTAGAGTTCAGGCAATATAAATACAATCTTACATTGTAGCAGGTTTCAATTTAATGTTAACAATTAATTTCAGTGAATGTGTTAGTCAAACAAAATCACATGTGTCTTCTCATTTCAAGTAGTCTTAAGCAAACTGACTCTCAATGTAGTTGAATGTAAATGGTGAAATGTAAAATATTCTACAATTATTTATGTAGTTTATTTTTCTTAAATTTTAATCAATTATTTAAGGCTTTTGAGAGCTTTTTAAATCTTGATTTAAATATCCAAAATGGTAACTATCCCTCCAACTATTCTATCATTAGTATGTGTTTAATTATGACAGATATTGTTGCTTGCTTATAAAACACCCAGTATCTCTTTTCTTCACCCTAGAAGAACTTAATTTTGTTTTCTTTTAGTTGGCCACATGCCCAGGCCTGAGATATAAATCATAATTGTCTAAACAAACCAAATCAAAGTCCTAATTTGGCATTGCATGGTCTAGGAGAGGCGTATGATTCTCTTCTGGCCAATGAGACATAAGAAGTTTTCTGGGTGCTTCTGTGCAAGTTTTTCTTTTCTGATAATGAATGGTATGGAAAACAGAAAGCCCTTTGGCCACATTCCTTTATTCCAGCATAAAACACTACTGTGTGAAGGCTTGTGGACCTTTAATAACCACAAAGATGTCCATTTACCGGTATTGAGACTGTTGAAGGAAAAAGACATAATTGAGCTAGGAGAAAAATGATCATCTATTGAACCAAGGCACGGTTAGTGTAAATTCTATTACATAAAGCTAAAAGCTACAAGTTTTGCCTTATTTAGGATGCTTATATGTCATTAAATAGGAAAAGATAAATAACAGAGTCTGAACTTCTTTCCACATTAAGCATGTCAATTTTAGGGGCCAGAACTGCTCAAAAGTTTTAGATCTACCCAATCTATCATTAGTTCACATCTACCTCTTTTCCACACGAACACACACACAGAATGACTTTAAAATTTATTAAATGTCTTATTGAAAATCAGAAACCCTGTGTTACTTACCTTTTCAAAATGTCTAACCTAATCGAGTTTCTCAAAAAGGAAAATAGTATGGTTTTTAATGACTCGTTTTTGATTTTTCATGTTCCAATACTAAACCAGAGTGATTGTTGTTAGAGTGATTACTATGCTACGCGCTGAAAAAGTATTTCTGTCAAAGTCCATTTTTAATGTTTTTTTTTTTTCTTCAGGTATTAAAAGCAAAGTCACTGACTTACATTGAAGTATACATAGGGAATTATCTTTTTCACATTTTAAATACTAGAGAATATTTTCTTTTTTCCAAATTTTCAGCATTTTTTTGTGTGTCACTAAAACTTCTCAAACATTGTCTACAGTGGTCCTATGATCCAAATTTACTGTGTTTCCATACTCCAGATTGTAATTAAGAAGATCATATTGAATTCATTTGACTATATTGAAAGTATCCAGATACTCTACTGCTTAATGGAATTTAAATTACCATTAATAATGTTATACTCTCATGAAGTTCAAATCAATCTCCCTTGAAGAAAAATTGGAAGTCAGTAGGGCTATATTATCATCATTATTATTTAACAGTACTTCTGCTTCTAAAGTTGGGACTATCTTTCTTAGTCACTTTTCTATAAACACTCTTCTGTGGAAAAAGACAGATTCAAAGTACTATAAAAATGGTTGATATTTGCAAAAGAAATGCTAAGTATAAATACTACATATATTAGTATATATAGTACATATCGTATACACTTAGCATTTTCTTTTGCAATTATCAATTATTTTTGTAGTAGTTTGAGACTCATAGGCACACAGGATATATATTTAAAATTTATGTATTTATATATATTTAACATTTTCAACTGTATTGATGTATAACTGATAAAATTGTGTGTTTACGGTGTACAATGTGATGATTCGATTTGCATATATTTTGTGAAATGACTCCCACAATCAAGTTAGTTAACACAACTGTTGTCTCCGATAAAAGAAAAACTTCAACTGAATTAGATTTAAAGGAGTTTAATTGAGCAATGAACAATTTGCGAATCAGACAGCCCCCAGAATCACAGCAGATTCACAGAGAATCCAGAACAGCCATGTGGTGAAAGAGGATTTACAGACAAAAGAAGAAAAATGACGTATGTAAATTGGCAGTGAGGTACAAAAACAGCTGGATTGGTTACAGGTTGTTGTTTGCCTTATTTGAACAGTTTGAACTCTTAGCAGTCTATGAGTGGTTGAAGTATGGCTTCTTGGATTGGCCAAGACTTAGTTATAGTTACAGGCGCATACTCCTGAATTAGGTTTACAATCTTGTCTGACTATTAAGCTAGGTTACAGTTCATCTACAAGGACTAAAATATTGAAGTACGGAGTCCCTCTCAGGCCATATTTAGTTTGCTTTAGCACCTCACATAGTTACCCTTTATGACTTAAATATTTTTACATTTCCAACCACAATGTTTATGTGTGTGTGTGTTTGTGTATATACACACATGCCTGTAAGACATTATCAAAATTGTATTTTGTGAATATTATATGCATTCACACAGGAACAGTATCGATTACTGGCAAGTAACGTGAATAAGTGATGTGGATTGATGGAAACTCATGAAATGGTGTGTGTGTGTGTGTGCGCATGCCATCAGTACTGATGTTGTCTCCAGAAAATTTGGGTTTATAAGCCAATTTGAGCTGAGGTGAACAATTTTGATCTGTATCCTATTATATTTTTTTATACATGGGAAAAATAACACTAGTTCAGTGTTATTTCTTGAAGCCTAAGATATGCATCTGAGGCTTCATTCCTGGTTATAACCTGCTATCATAGGAAAGAACAATTGTCTATTGATAAGTTTATTGTAATTTTATCATCATCCTAATTTTTTCCTAAGTAGCACTGGGTTCAATTTTATTACATTTCTTTCTGTAATGCCTGAAAGGCAAAAGGCTTTACATTAGATTATAAAATTTATTTTTTCAGCCAAGATGGAGCAACAAATCATATTTATATTCTCATATGAAATGCTATAAAACAGAAATTAGACACTAGGTTGCACAGGACAGTGATTCCTGAGAGATGGGGGACAAATGACATAATTCCTACAATTTGCTCAGCTTACTACTTGGAAGATTTCTAAGTCAGAGCATAGAGAAGGGGAATCCAGGAATAACCTTCAGGTTCCTTGAGTTGAGAAGACAGAGCTAGAAGTCTACAGCCAAGGCAGCTAGAGGTTACATGCCAAAGTCCCAGACACAGACAGAGCGCTTCATAGAGAAAGGGTATGGAGATCTGCAAGTATCTCCCTTGAGTCTTCACTTGAGTACAGATCAGCTCATAAATGTGTGAGAAAACTACCCAAGGCTAGAGGCAAAAAAAAAAAAAAAAAAAATTAACCATCCATGGAGATCATATGATGGTAGGAATAGTTTGTGTTCCAACTCGCTAAGTCGGAAAACTACATAATTCATGGCGCATTTGGTAGAATAGCCAAAATTGATTTCCTGCAGTAGTAGGGAAAAATTAGCCATAGGCCAAAAGATGCTCCTGTTCTTGCTAACAATTTTAAAAGCAACCTTTGATTTTTTGTCCTTGCGATAGGGGTGGGGGGAGGGGGGAGGGATAGCATTAGGAGATATACCTAATGCTAAATGACGAGTTAATGGGTGCAGCACACCAACATGGCACACGTATACATATGTAACAAACCTGCATGTTGTGCACATGTACCCTAAAACTTAAAGTATAATAATAATAATAGAAAGAAAAAAAAAGTAACCTTTGAAAGAATCAAACCTTTTCTAAGCCACATAAATGCATTCCAGAATAAAGCATAGGGCTATTTGTAGAAATACAAAACATATAGCAACTGACAAACAAAGTTTACAGTGTTAGATATCCAATTAAAAGTTGCCAGGCAAAGGCCGAGAGCGGTGGCTCAGCACTTTGGGAGGCCGAGGCAGGCGGATCACGAGGTCAGGAGATCCAGGCCATCCTGGCTAACATAGTGAAACCCCATGTTACATGTCTCTACTAAAAATACAAAAAAAATTAGCCAGGCGTGGTGGCGGGCGCCTGTAGTCCCAGCTACTCGGGAGGCTGAGGCGGCAGAACGGCGTGAACCCGGGAGGTGGAGCTTGCAGTGAGCAGAGATCGCGCCACTGCACTCCAGCCTGGGCGACAGAGCCAAACTCCGTCTCAAAAAAAAAAAAAAAAAAAAGTTACCAGGCAAACAAAAAAGCAAAAAAATATAATGAATTGGGATGACTCACAAAAATATAACCTAAAGAAGATTGAACATCATTTTGGCAATCCCATGTACCTAAACACGTCAAATAATCCTGTTTACTGCTTTTCTGGATATTTTCAGCGTCCCTCTGATCCATCCAAAAAGCCAGGCATTAGGAAAGACAGTTTTAAAATTAAAGTTTGATTTTGGAATTCCAGATTACCATAAATTATTTATTTTGCCAAAATGATGACTGAGAAATTTTAAAGAAGAAAAACCTTTATAACCTTTTACAAAAGACCCCCACATTGTACTGTTCTAACACATCTTGCATGTAAAACTCTTTCTAGTAGTCTTAATTGAGTGTTATAATGATGACTCTTAGCAATTTTAACATAAAACCAGGTAAGTTATGTTCTGATAAGGTCTAATTCCAGCATAGCTAGGGGGTGTGGCCAACTCCACATGTCCCCAGGCCTTACCTAGCTGGAAAGCAGGCAAGTTAAACAATTTTCAAAAGCCAAAGAAGCAGTTTATGACCTTAACGCATTTAGCAAACCTAATATTTGAACATAATTTAGACCACATTTACATTTTGAAGACATTTGTATGTTACCAATAATCTTTAATAAGATTTCCTTTAGAAAGGAAAGGAGATCCTCTACAGAATGCAAATTCCCCCCACAAGGGACAGCTTTGCAGGGCCATCCCAAAATAAGCCAAATAAATATATTTTGTGGTAAAATACATTGGTTTCCTTTAGGGCCTGCTATCTGTCATGTGATGGTATCCCAGACACCAAAAATTCCAATTTTGGAATTTTGTATTTTATTGCTACAAAGAGTGATTTGTCAGTCTTACAATCTCTATTTTAATGTTAATGCTGGTCAGTTGTGTCTAAACTCCAAAGGGCGGGCTTATAATGAGGTATGTCCAAATCCCCTCTTCCCATTGTGACCTGAGCTAGTTTCTCAGGTTCGTTTGGGATTCCCTTGGCCAAGAGAGGGATCTATTTAGTCAGTTGCAAGGCTTAAAATTTCATTTTTGGCCTTAATTCTCCTGCTTCTGGACAAGATTTGCCAGAGGCAACCTCAGTGGCCAAACTTTCATTGTGTCCCATAGCATTGCTGGGTTGGTGTGGCTAGCTGCCTCAGGTTTATCCTGTTGCTTGGTGGGACTCCTATGGCCAAGGGACTTTGAGCAAAAAGGTTTATAGCCAATTTAAAGGTTCTAGGCCAGATGGGAATGGAGGTGAGCAGGCATTCATCAAACCTGAAAATCTTTTATGCAACATAGGAGTCAAAAACCAAAAGCCAAAAGGCAAGGTTACAAAATTGACTTATCTATAAATTCTATGTGTTGAGCTACTGTAATCTTGGGTTTAGTTACAGACTGGTAGCAATTAGCTACACAAAACAGGAGGATTTTGTTAAAACCATTTAAGCTAAAAAATGTAAAAAAATTTAGACATTTTTGTTGTGCTGCAATGCTTTTTGTCGTTTAAAAAAAGACAAAGTTTAAAAAAAAAACTTGTGTGTGTGTGTGTGTGTGTGTGTGTATCTGCAGAAATCCTATAACTGGGAACACTTTTCCCAGGAGTCTTGCAACAAAAATAGATTTTTTAAAGGGTTCAGATTGACTTCCAGTATGATAGTGGATAGAGCTTTGCTGACCTACTTCCCAGTGAAAAAGAAAAGAAAAGAAAAGAAAGAAAAAACAATATAAAGCCTTTGGAAATTGTCTTAAGAGCAAACAGCAAATAAAGAAGCATCTGTTCAAGAAAATCAAGAAATATTTGGTAAAAATGTTGGGCCATGACTACTCCCTCCTTCCTTTTTTTCAGCATAGTGAAAAAGAGATTTCATTTTTTTCTTCTGTAGCTAAGATCACAGGAATCTCTTTCCCTTTAGTTCCCAGTGAGAGAGCTTTCTTTCTGTCAGAAACAGGATATGAGTTTCTTATCCTGTGCCTGGCTATCTGCTACTGAGGCTAAGGTTTGGGAAAGTGTAGTTGAGAAGTGCTGTCTTCCTTCTTCCATTGAGATTCCACTCATGGAATGGAGGCTCTTCCTTGATGCAGCATGCATGCCCCAGCTTGGTAGGTGGTTCCATGCAAGAAGAGAAAATCCAAGAGGGTTTTCAGGCTCAGGCTGCTTCCCTCCCCACCACATCTTCCACTAAGCTCCTACAGTAGTCCAGAGAAGCTTGCCATTGTCTTTACTCACAACTCCAGAGCCTTACTCAAAAATTTTGCCTATGGGAAGAAACAAGCCATAAAATAGATAGCTCCTAATCTCTTCCCAAAGGAACTGACATCAATTGCAGCAGAACATAGAGAAGTTCCATAGTATAGACACTCTTAAGAACAATGGAGGTAGTTGTGGTAAAAGACAATTAGAAAGAGGCTCTTGGATTTAACATAGATAAAGTCTAGATGATAGCTGGGTAGTTTTAGGAGAGAACTGAGGAATAAGACAGCTGGAAGGAGCCCTTCTGAGGTCAGAATAAATATCAAATATAGACACAGAAACTGTGACCGCCCAACTGGTTCGCCTCGTCCACTGCCTAGACAGAGCCGATTTATCAAGACAGGGGAATTACAATAGAGAAAGAGTAATTCATGTAGAGCTGACTGTGTGTGGAGACTAGAGTTTTATTATTATTCAAATCAGTCTCCCTATAATTCAGGGATCAGAGTTTTTTAAGACTAATTTGGGGGGTTAGGGCTTGGGAAGTGGGGAGTGCTGATTGGTTGGGTTGGAGATGGAATAATAGGGAGTTGAAGCTGTCCTCTTGCGCTGAGTCAGCTCCTGGGTGGGGGGCCACAAGACCAGATGAGTCACTTTATCCATCTGGGTGGTGCCAGTGGATCCATCAAGTGCAGGGTCTGTAAAATATCTCAAGCACTGATCTTAGGTTTTGTAATAGTGATGTTATCCTCAGGAGCAATCTGAGAGGGTTTACAAACTTGCAGCCTCCAGTGGCATGACTCCTAATACATAATTTCTGATCTTTTGGCTAATTTGTTAGTCTTACAAAGGCAGTCTAGTCCCTAGGCAGGAAGGAGGTTTGTTTGGGGAAAGGGCTGTTATTGTCTTTGTTGTAGAGCTAAACCAGAAACTAAGTTCCTCCCAGAGTTAGTGCGGCCTACTCAAAGGAATGAACAAGGATGGGTTAGAGGTTAGAAGCAAGATGGAGTCAGTTAGGTCAGATCTCTTTCACTGTAATAACTGTCTTAGTGATAACTTTTGCAAAGGCAATTTCAAAGCCTCCTTCAAAGGAACTAGAATTTATTAGATTGGTGTAGAGAAATTTATTCAGGATACTTTTGAAAACAATAGATCCATCACTCAGCAGTTACTAGAGTTTAACAGCTGGATGTGGACAGGGAAAAAGAATAAGAGAGCCATATCAAACCACTGTTGTCCCAGGATGCATACCCAAAGCTGTGCCTTCAAGAAGAACAATATTAGAGGCCTAACACTGATAGAGGGTGGAATGGAGTTAATTAAAATTTTCAAGCCAATTTTTCAACAAATAAACAAGAAATAACTATAGCAAGCCCCAGAGAGGGGAGAGGACCAGTACCTAAACTTGCAGCAACATTTTATCTAAAAGGTCAAGGTTTCAACAATAATTTCAAGGCATGCAAACAAATAAAAAATTATGGCTCATGTACCAGCAAAAAAAGAAAACAGACAACAGAAACTTCACGTAAGTGTAACCAAACTTCAAAGATGCCATTATAAGTATATTTAAAGAACTAAAAGAGGCTGGGCATGGTGGCTCACTCCTGTAATCCCAGACCTTTGGGAGGCCAAAATGGGTGGATCACCTGAAGTCAAGAGTTTTGAGACCAGCCTACCAATATGGTGAAACCGTGTCTCCACTAGAAATACAAAAATTAGCTGGAAGTGGTGGTGGGCACCTGTAGTCCCAGCTATTCAGGAGGCTGAAACAGGAGTATCGCTTGAACCTGGGAGGCAGAGATTGCAGTGAGCCGAGATCGCACCACTGCTCTCTAGCCTGGGTGACAGAGTGAGACTCCGTCTCAAAAAAAAAAAAAAAAAAACAAAAGCAAAACAAACAAAAAAAGAACTAAAGCATTGAAGCAGAAAAAAAAAGCATGATGTTATATTAAATATGTTAATAAAGAGATATGAATCATAAAAAGAACCAATGGGAAGTCTAGAGTTCAAAAGTACAATACCTAAAATAAAAATTGCCCAAAAAGACTAAATAGTAGATATTAACTGATATAAAAAAGAATTAGTAAACTTGAAGATATAATAATAGAGATTATACAAGCCAAAGAGAAGAGAGAAAGAAGAAAAAAGAAAACTTAACAAAGCCTCAGAGAAAGGCAGTATACCATTAAACATGACAGTTATGTTTACTTATAAGATCATGGAGAGGAAGAAAAATATTTGAAAAAGTAATAGCAGAAAACTTCCTAAATTTATTGAAAAATAATAACCTACACATCCAGGATGCTCAATAAATTCCAAGTAAGATAAACGCAGAGATCCAGAAGAAGACATGTCATAGTAAAAAGTCTGCAAATCAGACAAGGAGGAAATGTCGAGTGCAGTAAGATAAAAACAACTCATTGCTTATGCGAAAAACAAATGAAACTAATAACTGACTTCTCAGCAGAAACACCAGAGGGCAGAAGGCAGTGAGAAAACATTTTATTAGGCATGAAAGAGAAAAAAATAACTGAACAAACACTCTGGAGAACTATATATCCTGCAAACATGTCTTTCAAAATTAAAGATGAAATAAGACTTTCCCAGATAAACACAGAGATTTTGCTGCTAGCTATCTCACGTGACAAGAAATATTAAAATATTTTCTACAGTCTGAAAATGAGACCAAATGGTATTTCAAATCTACAGGAGAAAACAAAAGTCATTGACAGATAAAATTTATTATGTTATTTTAAATAAGTGTAAAAATTCATATTCTTTTTTTTCTTCTCTCAAGTGATTCTTAAAATTGTATGTGTGTGTATATATATGCCATATTGTTGGGTTTGTAACATACAGAAATGCAATACTTGTGTAATGTATCTGACTGTAACAGCACAAAGCAGATGGAAGTGGGCAAAGCTATACTAGGTAAGTAAATAACCTCAGATGGTAAAGAATAATTATAAAATGTATCATTAGATGTAATATATATAACAGTAATATCATCGAAAGGGGAAATCAAATAGAAATATGTGGGAGTAATATTTTCCTATATTATGGGAATTGAATTCATATAAGTTTGAAAAAGATTCTGATAAATTAAGAGGTATATGGTAAGCTCTAAAGCAATCACCAAGGAAATAACTCAAAGAAATGTAGTAAAAATAATTAAAGGAATTAAAATGTTACACAAGAAAATATTCATTATTGGAAAAGAAAGCAGCAAAAAAAGGACTCCTAAGCCCCTATGCTCAGCCCACTCCCACCCTGTGGAGGGTACTTTTGTTTTCAATAAATCTCTGCCTTTGTTGCTTTGGAAAAAAAAAAAGAAAGAAAGTAGAAAAAGAGGAATAGAATAAACAAAGAGAAAAGACATATAGAAAATGAAAAGTAAAATGATAGGCAAAATCCCAGCTGTATTAAAAATAACATTAAATATAAATTGATTGAAAAATCCAATAAAAAAGATTGTCAGAATGGATTTTAAAGAGCCAACTTTCTGCTGTGTAAAAGAGACACAATTTAAATTCAAAGACCCAAATAGAATAATGATCAAAAGATGGAAAAAGACATATTAAGTAATCAGGCACCACAAGAAAGCTATACTGACCTCAGACAAAATAGACATGAAACAAAAGATGCCTCAGGAGATAAAAGGGGACCTTTTATACTGATAAAGGTCAATCTACCAGGAAGATGTAACAGTTATAAACCAATAACAGAGTGGTAAAATATATGAAGAAATATTGACAGATGTGAAGGGAGAAATAGTTCAACAATAATAGTTGGAGACTTTAATAACCTACTTTCAATATGAGATAAAACAACTAGGCAAAAGATCCACAAGATATAAGAGACTTATACAATTGTATAAACCAAATAGGCCTAACAGACTCTATAGAACACTACACCCATCAGCTGCAGTATGTATATTTTTCTCAAGTGCACATGGAGCATTCTCCAGGATAGACCATTTGCTATTCTGTTAAACAAGCCTCAATAAATTTACAAAAAAAAGATACAAAGTATGTTCCTGAACAAAATGAAATAGAATTAGCAATCGATAGCAGGAAAAAATCTGGAGCTCTTGCAAATATATGGAAATTAAACAATACACTCCTAAACAACCAATGAATCAAAGAAGAAATAAGTAAAATCAGAAAATACTTTGAGATGACTGAAAATACAAACATGACATACTAAAGTTATATCATATAGGTAATGCAGAGTTTAGAGAGAAATTCATAGCTGTGAATGATTATATTAAGAAAAACGACCTCAAATCAATAACCTAAACTTCCACCTTAAGACACTGCAAAAAGAAGAGCAAATTAAACCTAATCAAGGAGAAGAAAGAAAATAATAAAGATTAGATTACAAATGAACAGAGACCAGAAAAACAATAGAGAAAATCAGTAAAACCAAAAGCTTGTCTTTGAAAAGACAAAATCACCCTTTAGCTTGAATGACCAAGAAAAGAAAAGAGTCAAATTACTAAAACTGGAAATGAAACAAGGGTCATTATTAGTGGCCTGAAAGAAATAAAAAGGATTATAAAGGAATAATCAATAAAATATTAGGAAACCAAATCTAATAACATATAAAAATAATTATACATCATGACCAAGTGAGACTTATCTCAGGAATGCAGGGTTTGTTTAACATCTGAAAATGAATTAACCCAATACAGCATATCAATAAATTAAAAAATAAAAATTGTATGCTCATCTCAATAGACACAAAAAAAACATTTAACGAAAACCAGTAACATTTTGTGATTTAGAAATCCTTAAGAAATAAGTAACAGAAGGAAACTTCCTCAGACTGATAAAGGGCAACTTTCAAACCCATATCTGACATAATACTTAATGGAATAAACTGGATGAATTCTTCCCAACATCCAGAACAAGACAAGGATGTCTGCTCTTGCCACTTCTATTCTGCAGTGTACGAGCTATTTTAGCCAGCACAGGAAAAAAATAAAAAGCATCTAAACTGGAAAAGAAAAGGTAAAACGATCTATTGGAAGATTACATGATCTTGTATTTAGAAAATCCTAAGGAATACACACACATGCACACACACACACACGCACACACAAACTAATACAACTAATAAATGAGGTCAGCAAGGTGTTGGGATACAAGATCGATACACAAAACGTATCACAATGAACAGTCTGAAAATAAAATCAAGAAAACAATGTATTTATAATAGCATCAAAAAGAATACAATATTAATATATTTAACAAAAGAAGTGCAAAAGTAATACCCTGAAAACTGCAAAACATTGTTTAAAGAAGATCTAAGTAAATGGAAAAACAACTCATGTTTATTGATTAGAAGACTTAACATTTTTTAAATGCCAATAGTTTCCAAATTGTTCTAGTAATTTAATTCCAGCTATCAGATTCCCTATTAGAACCCCAGTTAACTTCTTTATAAAAATTGAGAAATTGATTCAAAAACTTATATGGAATTGTAAACATCTCATAATAGCCAAAACGATTTTGAAATACAAGACCAAAATAAGAGGACTTATACTTACTGATTTCAAAGCTACAAAACCATGACAATCAAGACAGTGGTACATATACTTATTCCTCAGTATACCCAAATTTCCTGGTACAAGCCAACAGTTCAAAAAACAAAGGTAGTTATTTAATTTATGCAATATAAAGTTTTACTCAAAATGAATCAAGGATCTAATATAAGAGTAAAACTATAAAAATCTTGGAAGAAAACATAGGGCTAACACTTCATTATCTTGGTTTTGACAAATAATTATTAGATTTAGCACCAAAAGCATGAACAATAAAAGTAAAAGTAATAAAATTGAACCTTGTCTACATTTAAAAATTTTGCGCTTTAAAGGACACCATCTAGAGAATAAAAAAATAATCTACAGAATGGGGAAATATTTTCAAATCGTATAACTTATATGGTAATTGTATCTGGAATATATAAACAACACTTACAACTTGATAATAAAAAAGCAAATAACCCAATTAAAAAAGAAGCAAAGAATCTGAATAAGTATTTTTCTAAGGAATATATACAAATGGCCAATAAGCACATAAAAAGTTTGATATCATTAGTCATCAGGGAAATAAAAATCAAAACCACAATGAAAATCTACTTAAACATGATAGTATGCCTAGAATCAAAGAGTCAGATAATAACAAGTGTTAACAAAGATGCAAAGGAACTGAAACCCTCATAGACTGCTGGTGGGACTCTAAAATAATGCTGCTCCTTTGAAAAAGAGTGTAGCAGTTCCTTATATGACTGAACATATAGTTGCCAGATGACCTAGAAATTTCACTTCTAAATATATACCCAACAGAAATAAACACATGCAAATATAAATGAACACACAAAATAATTTTATATAAGCCATGAATAAAAGAATAAATCAAAATAATGAGAAAGCATTTTGAATTTTATGAATATAAAAATGAAGATGCATCATATCAATATTTGTAGGAAGAAACTAAAGTAGTACTTAGAGGAAAATTGATAGTGTTAAATGAGTATATTTGGAAAGTCTCAAATAAATAACCAGAACTTCCACCTTAGGAAATTTTAAACATAAGAACAAATTAAGTTCTGGTTTCAAATTGGGGTATAGCAGCAGGCTGGCTTCACTCTCACTCCCATCTGAAGAAAACCAAAACCAAATCTACAATGCTGCAATATTTCATAATTCAAATATGATGATGTGACAGTTCACAGGGCCAAAGAGAAGTGAAAAAACTCCAGCAGCAGATAATAAAGGAATTGGACTTTCATATCCATAACACCCTTCATCCCAATCTGCCAAGTACCCAGCTTGCAGAAAATTTCCATCTGACTCACGGTTTCTACACTGGAAAAAGTGAGATTGAGGATGGATAACCAGCTTTCTCACTATCTTGGTTTCCCTTGCAGGAGACCTGTCCCTGCGTCAACTCATGGGAAACACTGAGAATACCTGAAGACAGAAATAGCCCTTAAGACAGCCAGAAACAAAGGGAAAAGGCAGGACTCCCATCCCCAGCCGTGGAAACTCTGCTCTGTAACTCTGCCAAAAGATTTGCCAAATGAGAGTGGCTGTTCAGCAGCACCACATGGTATGTCTGTTTCAGAGGTGCCCTGGGCAGGAACCCCTCACCAGCCTTCCCACACTAGTGGAATATCCCCTTCAGGAGCTTCCCCACTTAGGACCAGCAGCACTATGATTGTTTACCAGAACCAAGACAAACCTGGGCTTAAGGTGCCATACAATAGTGCCAAAAAAGAGGCAGTAGCCTGTTGGAAAAATCAATAGGTAAATTATAAAGAATATCTAAATGAACAAATACAAGAAAAACCAAAATAAACCAGACAGAGAAGACTAGAATAAATAGCTAATCCTTCAGAGCAAAGACATAGACATACATTCACAAGAAACAACAGCAAACAGCAAACCATGACCTCCTCAAAAGGACAAAGCAAGGAACCAATGACTGACCCTAAAGAAACAGCAATATGTGAACTCTCTAAGAATTCAAAAGAGCAGTTTTAAGAAAAGTACTTAAACACGATAGTGATCTCCAAGATCGAAGGTGCTAATAGCACACATTGGGGAGAGGTCAGTCTTTTCAATAATAGTGCTGGGAAAACTGGATAACCATATGCAGAAGAATGAAACTAGATTTTTATCTCTCACCATATACCAAAGTTAAATAAAAATGAATTAAAGACATAAATTTAAGACATGAAACCATGAAACTACTAGAAGAAAACATTGGAGAAAGACTTTAGGATAATGGTCTGGGCAAATATTTTTTGTGTAAGACTTCAAAAACATGGGTAACCACAGCAAAACTAGACAAATGGGATTACATCAAGCTAAAAAGTTTCTGCACAGCAAAGGAAACAATCAACAAAAAAACATACAATCCAATTTAAAAATGAGCAAAAGTTCTGAATAGACATTTCTCAAAAGAATATATACAAATGACCAACAAGTATCTGAAAAAAATGCTCACCATCACTAATCATTAGAGAAATGCAAATCAAAACCACAATGAGATCTCATCTCACTTCAGTTAAAATGGCTTTTATCAAAAAGACCGGAAATAATGGATGCTGGTGAAGATGTGAAGAATGGGGTACCTTCTGACACTATTGGTGGGAATATAAATTAGCACAGCCACTATGGAAAACTGTATGGAAGTTCTTCCAAAAACGAAAAACAGAACTACCATATGATCCAGCAATTTCACTATGGGGTATATATTTAAAAAATTGGGCCAGGCGCAGTGGCTCACGCCTGTAATCCTAGCACTTTGGGAGGCTGAGGCAGGTGGATCATGAGGTCAGGAGATCGAGACCATCCTGGCTAACACGGTGAAACCCCATCTCTACTAAAAATACAAAAAAATTAGCCTGGCGTGGTGGCAGGCGCCTGTAATCCCAGCTACTCGGGAGGCTGAGGCAGGAGAATGGCATGAACCCGGGAGGCGGAGCTTGCAGTGAGCCAAGATCCGCCACTGCATTCCAGCCTGGGCAACAGAGCGAGACTCCATCTCAAAAAAAAAAAAAAATTGAAATTAGGCTCTTGAAGAGATCTGTACACCCATGTTCATTGAAGAGTTATTCACAATAATAGCCTAGATACATAAACAGTCCAAATGTCCATCAACAGATTATATAAAGAATATGTGATATATACACACTTGAAAGCTTAGATGAAATGGACAAATTCACTTAAATGCACAAACTACTAAACTTATTGATACAAATAAATTACTTGAATAGCCTATGTATGTTAATTCTGTAATCCATTTAAGGAAGAAATAGTACCAATTCCACATAAATTATTCTAGAAAATTGGAGAAGAAATACCCCACAACACATTTTCCGAGGTTGTTATTGTTATTGCTCTGAACCAGACATTTTAAAAGAATACAAACAAATATCTCCATGAACATAGATGCAATTCTTAACAGAATTTTAGCAAATCAAATTCAACTACATATATATATTTCCATATGTATGTGTTTATATAAATATGTGTGTATATATTATATGTGTGTATATATATGTGTATGTGTATATATACACATATATGTACACACACACATATAATGTATATACATATGTATATACATTATATTGTATTACATATATACATATATACAATACATATATAGTATACATATATAGTATATATGTATACTATATATGTATTGTATATATATATGTATTGTATATATAGTATATATATGTATTGTATACATTATATTGTATTACATATATAATGTATACAATACATATATTGTATATGTATATGTATATGTATACAATATATGTATTGTATACATGTATATATGTAATACAATATAATGTATATACATATGTATATACATTATATGTGTGTGTACATATATGTGTATATATACATATATACAATATATATAGTATATACATATATATATACAGATATACGCACACACATATATATATAAAGATAATATGCCATAATCAAGTGGGCCTTATTCAGAAAGTCAAAGTTGGTTTAATCTTAGAATATCAATTGATGTAATTCTTTGCATTTTAAGACAGAGAAAGTGAAATCATATCATCATCTCAATAGAAGCAGGAACAAAAATTGATAAAACCCAACTCTCATGCCTGATAGACTTCTCCATAATTTAGTCCTGAAAGGGAACCTCCTCGACTTGATAAAGGGCATCTCTAACAGAGCGAAGGATTATAGTTTTTGGAAGAGAATAAGTTTTCAATAAAAATCTTTCTCTAGAAATATCTATACTCTGTTTGGTAGTTTAAACTAAAACTATCTGCACCCACCAACTATTATAGTCGTCTTTTGATATGTGTAGTGGATTGATTCCAGAAAACCTGCTCCCCATACCAAAATTCTATACATAAGCAAGTCCCACAGTTAGCCCTGGGGAACTTGAATATATGTAAAGTAGGCCCTGTGTATAGGTGGGTTTTGCATCTTGTGAATACTGTATTTTTTATCTGCATTTGGTTGAAAAAATCCACTTTTAAGTGTATTGGACCCATGCAGCTCAAACTTATGTTGTTGAGGAATAAACTTATAATGAAGACATACATAGAGACAAGCACATACAGAAATTTTCCTTTCACATTTGACTACAGTATAACAAGTGTCGGTATAGATATAGTTTAGTTACGAGAAGATAAATTGCCTGCTGATAACCAGTACAGCCTCCTTCCATGATGAAGTTGAATGTAAGGGGAAAAAAATGAAATAGCAAAGAACGTAGTTGAAAAGTCATACTATGTCCTTTCTTTTCTAGGATCACATTCTCTTCATTGTTTTCTTCATTGCAAACCCTCATTTTTAAAGAGTTACTCAAAAGGAGCTTGGCAAATTACTACCTAAATGTTTTTTTAAAGTGCTACCCAATTTGAATAGCACTATGACCTATTCAACTAAATATGAATTTAGTTACCTATGGGTAACTAAACTCTGGGTTACCTGTGACCCAGATCAATGAAATATAACTCTTTAGAGGCCTATTCTCCATCCAGGAAATTATGTAAGAATATTGCTTTGGTTTTGGTTTTGTTCTTGTTTGTTTTTAAATATTGCTTTACTTTGTTAACTAGCTAGGAATATTTATTACTTTGATAATTTTCCTGTTCTGGCTTGACTTGTGATATTATGTACTATCATGTTATTGGTTTTATTGGAGCTGGTTTTGAACAATCCTGTAAAGATGATTGAAATGTTTTAGAAAGGTAGTAGTACAGTGTAATGGGTTGGGAGCTTGCATTCTGTAGACACATACTGTGGGTTTGAATTTCTGCTTTGTAACTTACTAACTTTAATCTTCAGTAAGTTTCTTATCCTTTATGTAACTCATTTCTCTTACCTCAAAATGAGAATAATAATGGTACCTACCTTATAAGGCTTGTAGGTGCATTAAATGATTTGATATATACAAAGTGCCTAGAAAAGTTCCTGGCACACAGTGAGTGCAAAGTTATAGCAGCATTATATTAAACCTTATGTTCTTCATTTGGGTGGGGTAGACATTTAACAAAATTCTAACTGACACTGTTTCAGATTAATTTCTAGAGTACTGTGTTTTTAAGTATGGAATTTCCATAAAAATTCTGATACAAAAAAATGAAGTTTTTAAACTTTTAATCATTTCAAGTACTAAACAAGTAACATAGTCAAAACAAATCAGTGTTTCTGGCCTTTTGGAAATATCAAAAAGCAGAATTTGACTCAAGGAAAAGGAGAAAATATCATTGCTTAGGATTTTTGCTTTGAAGCCTCTTGGAAATTAAGATGATAACTCACATGAGTTATCACAAAAAGAAATAAGGAACTCTAGCCGCACAACATTTTGAAACATTGCTAAACTCATTCAATTGTTTGTCTGTTGAACTAAGCATATTTAAAATATGATTACAGCATTTTCCACATATAAACAAATTCCTTTCACTCCACACCAGATGAATGTGTGCAAGGCTCTGTGTTATATTTCATACTAATTAACGACAAATTAAACTTGGAGCCTAATTCGTATTTATTCACATACCAAACACATTTGAATGTTTTAGATATCCCAGGTGGCATATAAGGTATAGGAGATACAAAGTTGAAGGAAATAGATATGGTTCTTGCCCGGATGGATCTTCCAATTTAGAGAGAGACAGGATATATATGTATATAAATCAACAGAATACTTAACGGTGGATATCATGTACTATAAAGGAGCTAAACAATAAAACAATAGGGAAAAGAGAACAATCACTCAGTGAGTAAGCCACTGCCTTTGAGGGCATGGTCAGAAAGCCTCTCTGAGTGCACCAAATTTAAGGTAAGACTTAAAAGCTTAAGAAGGAATCAGCCTAGTGAAAATATGAAGATCATGGGTTGGCCATTCTAAATACAAGGATCAGTAGATATTTATATAAAGGGTCTGATATGGAAGAATGCATGGTGTCTTTCAGTTTCTTTCAGAATTAGGAAGATCAGAATTAGGGAGGGTAGAGTAGCATAAGAGAATGTGTTTGTGGTGGTAAGATCAACTCAAGATGTAAGCCATGGCTAATAATATAGATTTTATAGTATAAAAGCAGTAAGAAGCCATTTTAAACAGGATAGTAATGTGATTTGTTTTATATTTCAAAAAGATTACTCTGCTTCCTGTGTAGACGGTGGAGTGGTGGGAGACAAAGATGGAAAGGAGGGAGTCTAAATAGATAAGTAGGTTTTCAGCGTTCTGAGGAAGAGACAATGATGACATTGACTATGATTATGATCCTGAGTTTGAGAGAAGCAGACAGATTCAAAAATACTTTGTAGGTAGAACAATTAGGATATATCGATATATTAGATGTGGGTTTTTTTTTTTAAAAAAGGAGAAATCAAAAGGTAATACATAAGTGTTCGTTTTTGTCTTTCTTGATTTGAGCAATTGGGTGAATACTGGTACAGTTTAGAGTAAAATAGAAGACTGGACCAGGCTTAAGAGATATAAAGGAATGAAATATTTAGTTTTGGTTATGTTTATTTAAAGATGTCCTTTAGAAAATAGGCAGTTGGGTTTAAGAGTCTGAAGCTTAGAACAGGAAACACATTCTGATAATGACCACATTTATATTTGTAGAGGCTGGGAGAGACAAGGAAAATTTATATTCCTCAAAAGCAGCGGTCTATCAGTCTCAGCTTTTGTGATTTTAAATGTCTGGTATTTTTTCCACAAAGGAAGATGCTTGTTTCTCAACAAGTTTTATCTCAGGTCTGATACCACTGCTTCATACCATCCGACTTAATTAATGACTCCGTAGATGAAAATCATAGGGGACATATAACATTTTTTCATCAAATGCTGTTTTGTGTTTACCTCATACCTCAGGATTTCTATGCAACTTGGAAAATTAGTGTCTTTGTTAATATGACAAATGAATATTAACCTACACAATACTTCCAGACATGTTCTTATGACTGAGAAGTAAATCTTTAATTCCATATAATCAGTTCTCCTTTATCATATCAGAAAACTCGTCTTCATTCTGGAAATTATATTATTTTTCAGGTTTTTATTCTGAATATCTTATATAAAATAAAACAACAAAGTTTAGTAAAATTCTGTCTTAAAATGTAAGTGGATTCTATTCATAGAAAATGTGGGATGTATTGTTACTAGAGTAATTAAAAAAAATAGTATTTTCAGTCAGCTTTCTACCAGTTATTGTAAAAAAAAAAAGGTGGGGGGGAGAGTGATATTTTCTTAATAGGTGGGGAGTTGACTGATTCCATACAACGTGAACAATTGTCATGGGCTGAGAAAGTTCCAAATAATCACCAGGACTCTCATTTTCAACTCTCCCACCCTCGCATAGAAGAATAAACAAACAAACAAACAATAACAAATTTTAGACTGCCGTCATTGGAGAATGAGTCTGGCTAAAACACAGGAGCCAATCACCAATTATCATGAATATTGGGTTTTACTTTGATATTGCATTTTCATATGTGGCTTATAGAACCTTTTCATTACTTTGTATCAATGATCAACAGATGTCTTCTACAAAGAGCCAGATAGCAAATGTTTGAGGCTTTTCTGGCCATATGATCTCTCACCACTATGCAACTCTACCACTGTGGTTTTGAGCCAGTGAATTTAGGTGGCGAAGTGTGGCTTAAGATGCTCCATTTTCTTGAGATTTTTCTAGAGAAATAGGTAAGTTTTACATTGAGTCCTACTAAGAAATTATGATGCAGAGTCACCTTTTAGCTATCACTGCAGAGAAAAGTTATCATGATTCACCTTGTCTTGAGAAATTATCAGGTATGGGAAGTACTGAGACTGAATATTATTAGTACACAAGGTGGATTTGCAAAATTTCCACCATTGGAACTAGAAAATAGAGGATAAATACTACACTCCTATTTTATCTGAACTGATATGCATGAGTCAGTCAAAAATTAAATTCATTTCTAGAAAATGTTTTAGAATGTCTCATCATACAACAGCCACAAGATTCTCTTTAAATGTTGGCTTCAAAATGCAGATGAGAGATAATCATTTCAAACATACCTCTAGATCACTTGGTGATTTTCCATTTTCTTGTTCTACTTCTTCTCTAAGATGCCTGAAAAAGTTTGATTTTGGCTAGTTGTCTGTTTTCTCCATTTGTCCTACTGTTTGTCCTTCAGTATTTATTCTGCCTCTTAAGACTCTTGGTTTCCTGATTTCTGGTAGTGACCTGATCTTGTGTATATTTCAAACTTACAAGCACACATTCACAGGAGTTAGGACTCTGCGATCAATTGATATAATATTAATAGGATGCTTTTTACTGAGCCCCATGATTCTCTGTATCTATTACATTTTTCCAATAGATTTCGGAACCAGAAATAGCTTACAAGTTAACGAGAAGTCTTATAAACAAATCAATAATCACAATACATTCTAATAAATGTATGATACATGTTTGATCTAAGATTTTCATTTTGTATAGGTCGATTAAAAGTGACTGTTATAATATTTTGTGCATACTTATAAATGGGACTCTACATATATCTAAGCCTGTGCATCTCCTAAGGACCAAAGTATCATATGGAATTTCTTCCCAGATATCAGTAACAGAATATTAGGGGCAAAAGAAACTCAGTATTTGGATGGCTTCTTGAAACTACTCTCTCTGGTATTGTAATTGGTAGGGGTCAGATTTACTGAAAGTCAGAGAGTATCGATTGATAAGAGTACAAAAGAGTAACTAACTATGGGCATATTCATTAGTTAGAGCTTGGGAGTGGCTTTGCTGGGTTGTTCTGGTTCCAAATTTCTCGTGAGCTTGCAGATAAGATGGTGGCCCGCACTTCAATCATTTTGTGATTTAATTGAGAAACGATGGTCCACTTCTCAGATGGATAATTCACATAGCTGTTGGCAGGAGCCTCCATTTATGTTGGCTATTGGCAGGAGGCTTTAATTCCTCATTGTCTGTTGACAGGAGATCTTAATTCTTTGCTTCATGGGTTTCCCCATAGGGTTTCTTGAGTGTTCTCATAATATGGCAACTGGCTTCCTTCTGAGATAATGATCTGAGAGAAGGAGAACGAATAAAGGATGATGCCACAGAACACAGTCATTTTCACAATCTGCAATTATTTACACAACTTAGTCTGATTCAACCGCACAAGAACATGGAGTAGGGAAACTTTGAAGGCTATCTTGGAGGCTGGCCTACCTTAGTGGGGTTAGAATAATGGCAGGGTAGAAGAGGTATATGAGTGCAATATGCAAAAAGATAGGGATTTACATGAATAGATTTTTATGGTAGTAAAGAAAAACTGGAAAAAATACATAGAATTCAGATTGGAGGCTTGCCAGAAGAAAACTATAAAAGGGAAGCTTAACAAGTTAAGAGGTTACTGGAAATAATTGTCGTTGCTATTGGGAAAAACACCCAAATCTTTAATATTGTTTTCAAATCGTCACATGGTCCAAATATTAGCTTGCTGTTAAAGCCCCATCTCCTAGGATGCTTCGGTATTGCTGTCTCTCTATGCCAGACACATTGATTGGCCTCCTTGAAGATCATTAAATAAGTATGTTCCTGCCTTTAAACATGTGCCCTACATTTGGAATGCCCTTTCCCACCCCTTTACCTAATTATCCTCTATTCAGCCATCATACTAAGCTCAAGCACCAGCTCCTTCAGGCATAACCTTTGGTCTCAGGTTGTCTAGCTATTTTCTCGTGTATGACTATATCTATTACTGTCATCATCATCATCATCATCATCATCATCATCATCATCATTTCAGGGACATTTTTAATGTTTTTAATTATACAACTGTCAGTGTCCTTAATCTCTAAACTAAAGTTTAAGCTATATAAGAAAAAAGAATCACATCTGACTATTCCATGTGCCAAGCACAGTGTCTGGTAAATTAGAAGGACTTAGTCATTTTTCATTTAAAGAGGCAGTTAGTCATTTCTCACTTCAAGAATAAATACACTATTCCCTGAGATAGATGATAAGGATACGAATTAGCATGATGGTAAGAAGGTAGAAAGTAGATGGCACATTCAAAAAAGATGTTAAATCAAGGCCAAGGCATGAAGGAAACTGAGTCATCAAGAATAATGATAAATATCTGATATTTTAAAACTGAACAACAGCAAAAGATTATAGGACAAAATAACAATATAAAATGAAGGCGTTAACTTTGAGAATTTTATTAATCAGACCCCAACCAGGAACACAGAAAATACACTGTGTTAATTTCTATGTATTGCCCTTACCTCCAAATTGACCCCTCAGTGCCTGCTCTGAAGTAATGGACTGATTGCTTTAAACATTTCTCTTTAAGCACAGCACCATGTTAAGCTTTGTCAATAGAGGGCACTGGAGTCACATTACAGAAGGAAGGGGCTTCTCTTTCCAGTTTTGGCTGTTTTGCTTTGGATTTTCAGCCCTCTCTGGCTCCTGCTGCAGTCCTGCTGTGTGGGTGTGTAAGAACATTCAGTGATGCCTTGTCCAGCCACACACCCAGAAGGCAAAATCCGTCAGTGACCTCATAGGCCCTGCCTAAGCCCTATGACTACCTTCCCAAGGCTTCTTATCTCCACCCGAACATACTGACACTGCATGCTCCAAGCCCATAACACCCACAGAGTGTCCAGATTTCCTCTGTGTACTTGCCGACCAACCTGGCTTGCCAGCACCCTGGAGGTTTATCTCTTTCTTGTGTGATGAATGCAGACCAGCTTTGTCCCAGCCAACCTAACAAACTTCTCTGCTATTCCATGAGCTGCAAACATGCTTTCTCCAAGATGAGAACTCAGCCCTGAAGAGGGTCCCACCTTCTAAGTTTGTCCTTCCTTTGAAAGTCAGCTTCAGCATAGGGTTCCCTTTAGAATTGCTTCTGTATCTTTATAGTTGCTTTCCTATCATAGTTTAATAATTATTTCATATTAAATTCCTGTTAAATTTACGGCGTGGTTTATCTTTCCTAGCAAAATTAAAGAATATTACCAACTTACTATGAAAATAAAGAACATTTTATGCAGGGAACTGGTCATGCAACTCTGAAGAGCTGAGAAGCCAAATGTAGGCCTCGGAGGCAACTCATAAATTAGCATCTACAAGAAGTTGCTACCTTTTGAAGTCTGCAGGGACAAGAGAAGAGGCAGTGTTACAAGGGCCAAGATGACACATTGGAAGAAAACTATGTCCAACTCTCTGGCAAAATCTAGAGCTACAGAGGAGAAGCCATTGCTATCAGAGTCCCTGTCTGGCTTTTCCTTTTCTTCATCTGACAATTTCCTGTAGGTGGCTCCCATTGTTTGAAACCAGCTGGCAACCAGCTTACAAGGGAACCCAAGAATGCATCTCGGAGACGGCCATCTGCAGAACACTGCAGATTAGGAGGAAGCTGAAGAATGGATCCCAGAGCAAAAAGACCAAAGACTGGCAGAGATTTACTCAGGTTTATGCATTAACAACCAGCTTCCCAGGAGAGCAATGCCCTTTGTTGTAATGTTTTTCTGCATTTCTGATGTAACTATTCTTACTATGGGTGGTTTCAAGAAGCAAACATGAACATCACTGGACCCTAAGTCTGGAAGGAATGCACCTCAGCACACCATGTATAGTAGTTCCACTATATTCAATGAATTTTTTTAAGTATAGATATTGGCATCTTGAAGAAACTGCTTGTAATGATCAGCAATACCATTCATTTAATAACAAAATTTCTTTAAAACTTCAGAAGCTGATATCTAGATATTATAATGAAAGCTAAACAATTCAAAAGCAACAAGTTAATCCACAATTTTAAAGTATGCGTGGTTACAGAGGACATGCTCCTAGACACTGATAGTAACCAAAGAGAGGAGGGTAAAGGGGAACCTGCTTGTGGTTGTTTATAGTTTACCTGCTTCTTCTGAAATATTATTCTCAGCCCTCCATGCAGACATAATCTGGGCAAGAGATGAAAAACAAATATGGCAGGGGCTGCTAATTTCACTTTTGATTGATATAATCAGGAGGGGAAAGCTAGGCCGTTTATTTTTCTACCTTCTAACTGTTACTTTATTCCCTTACTCTGGAGATGGAGGCAAAGAGAACATCTTCTACTCCTAAGTGGCAGAAAATCTCTCAGAAGGTTATTTTGCATATGTATCAGAGTCACCATCAGAGCCCTTTCTAAAGGTGAACACCACAGGGTATGGTGGCTCAATCCTGTAATTCCAGCACTTTGGGAGGCCAAGGCAGGCGGATCATGAGGTCAGGAGATCGAGACCATCCTGGCTAAAATGGTGAAACCCCGTCTCTACTAAAAATACAAAAATTAGCCGGCCATGGTGGTGGGCGCCTGTAGTTCCAGCTACTCGGGAGGCTGAGGCAGAAGAATTGCTTGAACCCAGGAGGTGGAGGTTGCAGTGAGCCGGACATCAAGCCACTGCACTCCAGCCTGGGCGACAGAGCGAGACTCCATCTCCAAAAAAAAAATGGTGAACACTCATGAGGGAATGCAGTCAGACTTTGAAGGTTACCACATGCCACTTGCCATACAATTAACAAAGGGCTCTACATTGTTTTTGGCTTTATAATGTAAACATATTTTTATTAATAAGTTATATGATTCCTGCATTATTTCATAATTTGAGCTCATCAAGAAACTGTCTAACATTCTATTAAAATACATTATTAACTCCCCGCCCCCACCATTTGGCAAAGTTTTCTTTTTCTTACAAAGAAATAAAGGAAATAAGGTAGAAAAACCCGACAATTTAAGAATGATTAAGCATGTTAAACTTTATTCTGAACTTTTATCAGGAAAAAGTTCAAAGAGCCTGACTCTCAGTGTTGACCATGTGAATTTAGAAGTCGTCAGTCCAAAATGTGCCTTCATGCAAACCTTTAATTAAATATGGAGAATTTAATTTACTTTGATAACTTTAGGGTTTTCAAATATGTCCAGAGAAAGGAAATTAAACAATCAAATTATCCAAACAAAGGCCATTTTTGCCAACATTCCCTGGACAATAAGAATAGATTTTTTTCCCCTAAATTTTCTACAACGAACATGTATTACAATAAGAAAAAAAAAATGCTTACTTTTCCTAAACATTCAATGTTTCACTAGTTTTTAATTGTATTTACTTAGTATTTTTGAGTCACTGTCTCGCTCTTTCACTGAGGCTGGAATGCAGTGGTGCAATCACAGTTCACTGCAGCCTCAAACTCCTGGGCTCAAGTGATCCTCCCACTTCAGCCTCCCAAGTAGCTGGGACTACAGACGCATGCCATCACCCCTGGCTAATTTTTTAATTTTTTTGTATAGAGAGGGGTCTTGCTATGTTGCCCAGGCTGGTCTCAAACTCCTAGGTTCAAATGATCCTCTTATTTCATTCTCCCAAAATTCTATGATTACAGGCATAAGCCACCCCACGTGGCACACACTAGTTTTTAAATGACTGATTTGCTACATAAAGATATAAAAAAAGATGAGGCACATGTGCCACTTTTCTTAGAAAATATATTCTGTTGTAAGTTCTCTGAAAAAAAAAGTCATCTCTGTACTTGTCTTAGTCAATCTGGGGTGCTATAACAAAAATACCATAAGTTGGTGGCTTAAACAAAAATTAAATTCTCATGGTGCTTATTAGTCCAAGATTAAGAAACCAGCAGATTTGGTATCTGGTGAGGGCTGTCTTCCTGGTTCATAGCCAGCTGTCTTCTCATTGTGTCCTCACATGGCTGAAAAATTAAATGAACTCTCTGGGGTCTCTTTTATAAGGGTACAAATCTCATTCATGAGGCTCTGCCCTCATCACCTAATCACCTTCCAAAGGCCCCATCTCTTAATAAGATCACGTCAGAGGGTAAAGTTTCAACATATGAATTTTGAGGGAACACAAACATTTAGATATTGACATTTTGCTCCTGATCTCCAAAGTTTATATTCTTCTCACGTGCAAAATACATTTATTCTATCCCAATAACCCCCGAAGTCTTAACCTATTCCAGCATCAACTCTAAAGTCTAAAATACAAAGCCTCATCTATTAATAGATATCATCTAAATTAGTAATGAATGAGACTATAATTCATCCTGAAGCAAAATTTCTCTCCAGCTGTGAACCTGTGAAACCAAACAAGTTATATGCATTCAGAAAATAGTGTGGGACAGGTATAGGATAGACACGTTTATTCCAAAAGGGATAAACAGGAAGGAAGGAAGGAAGGGGTACTGGGTTTCAAGAAAGTCCAAAACTTACTGGGGCAAACTTTATTACCTTTTGAGGCTCAAAAATAATCCTCTTTGGCACGCTACTCCGTCTTCCAGGCCTACTACAGTGGTAATGTCAGTCCTCTGGCTTGGTAGAGATGGTCCCACAGTGGCTCTCTGCCTTAGCCTTCTGCTGGGGTCCCACAGATCTGTTGGGCTGGGTCCAATGCCCTTGGCTCACCCAGGCTGAAATCATAGTCCCATGGCTCCAGGTGGTCCTGTGTTTTGAAACCTAGGTGGAGGCAGCTGGGCCCTGAAGGCTCATGCACTGTGGCCTGTGATGGGAGTTGGCAACCTGATCATCTCTGAATCACCTTCAGAGCTATTCTTCCCTTGTCTTGAGAATAACATCTGGCCTTTGTTGAGATGACTGATAAATACTAATCTCCTTATCAAATGGACAATTGGCGACATTCATAGTGTTCTCATTTTTTTGCAATATTGGTAGGCTAGGTTTTTTTTTCAAATCTTTAAGTTCTGCTTTCTTTTTACTGAAAAATTATGTCTTTTAGCCATTTCTCTCTTCTCACATTTCACTGTAATCATAATATAATACAGCAGCTAAGCTGCTTCCATATTGGCTTTCAGTTGAAGGCAAGCCATACTTTCACCACTTTGCTTAATAATAGCTTCAGCTAAATATCCAATTTCATCACTCACACTTTCCACCTTCTACAAAGCACTAGAGCATGAACACAACTCAGCCAACTTCCTTGTCACTGTGTAACAGGAATCACCTTTCCTCCATTTTCCAACAGCATGTTCATTTCTGTCTGAGGCTTCATCAGTATGGTCTTTACCATCCATATTTATACCAACATTCTATTCATGATTACCAAAGTATTCCTTAAGGAGATTGAGGCTTTCTCTATAGTTTTACTCTTTCCTGATTCCTTATGAGAATCACCTTTAAAGGTCCATTCATAGTATTGTAAATTTTTTTTAAGTTTGCACCTCAGAACTCTTCCAGCCTCTAGTCATTATCCAATTTCAAAAGCACTTCTACATTTTTAGGAATTTGTTATAACATCACTTCCATTTCTCAGTACCAATTTCTGTCTTAGTTTAGGTTGCTATGGCAGCATACTGTACACGTAATGCCTCAGAAGCAACAGAAAGTTATTTCTCAAGTGTTAAAACCCCAAGATTGAGGCAATGGCATATTCTAGTTCACAGATGGCCATCTTCTTGCTGTGGTCACATGGGGGGAAGGGGTGAGGGAGCTCTCTGGAGTCTCTCTTATAATGGCACTACTTCCACTGAAGAGGGCTCTGCCTTCATGAACTAATCACCTACCAAATGTTTTCCCTCTTCAAATACCATCACATTGGGAATTAGCATTCAGCATATAAATTATGGAGACATTAACATTCAGTGTGTAGGACTTCATCAGGATTAAAAGTGATTTACCCACTACTGTTAGATTAGTACAGTATTCTGTATTTTTTTATATATGTATCTTTACCAGTGAGCTACACACTTTTATGTTCCTCTGTAGCATCTTTCCATTTTATCTTGAGGAACTCCCTTTAGCATTTCTTTGTAAGGTTGGTCTAGTGGTAGTGAATTCCTTCAGCTTTTGTTTATCTGGGAAAATATTTATCTTTGTTTTTTTTTGAGGAACAGTTTTGCATTATATTATCCTTGGTCAGCTGTTTTTTTGTTGTTGTTAGTGGGTTTTTGTTGTTTTTGTTGTTGTTTCTTTGTTTGTTTGTTTTTTTCCAGCACTTTGGATGTATTATTCTATTCCTTTCTGGCCTGCAAGGTTTCTGATAAGAAATCACTTATTCTTATGAAGACTGCCTTCTATATGAAGAGACATTTTTTTTTCTTGCTGCTTTCAAAATCTCCATTTGTGTTGAACTTTTGACAATTATGCTGTTTCTAGGTGTGGACATCTTTGTGTTCATTCTCATTGTGTCATTTGGACTTCTTGTATCTTGATGATTATTTCCTTCCCTAGATTTGAGAAGTTTTCAGCCATTATTTATTTAAATAAGATTTGTATCCTTTATGCTCTATCTTCTTCTGGAACATCCATAATGCATATGTTGGTCCACTTGATGATGTCCTATAAGTCTCTTAGACTTTCTTCACTGTTTTTCATTCTTTTTTTTTTTCTCTTCGACTCAGTAACTTCAAATGACATGTCTTAAAGTTCACTGATTCTTCTCCTTGATCAAATCTGCTTCCTCTCATGAATTTTTCAGTTTGGTTATAGCATTGTTTAGCTCTGAATGTCCTGTTTTTTGTTTTATATATTTTCTTTCTCTGTTGAAGTTCTCCTTTTGTTCATTTGTCTGACCTCCTTCATATTTATTTTGAATTCTTTTTCTGATAATTCACATACCTTAATTTCTTTTGTAACAAATTCTGAAGCCTTATAATGATCCTTTCAGTTGAGCCATATCCCCTCTTTGTTCATGGGTCTTGTAACTTTGTTTTGGTATTCACACTTTTTAAAAAAACAGCCACATTTCCTAGTCTTTATGGGTAGGTTTTGTACAGGGAAAGACCTTCACTAATCAGCCCAGCTAGAGTTTCTGGAAGTCTTTTAATACTTTTCTGTTTCTGTGCACTTACTTGTTTAGATTCTTAATTAGGGGGATTTGGTATTTTTTTTTTTAGTGTATATTCTTTTGTTCTCTCTCTTGTCTATGCTATATCATGGATTCTGTGAAGTAGCAGCTCCTTTTTTATTGTCAGCAGAGCCCCAGGCATTTAATGTACGTTAGATCTCATCAGTTGGACTAGACTCCATTCATTCAGGTAGCCCCCTAAAAAGCCGGAACATTAGTCACTCTCTCCAGTCTTCTCTTTACTCACAGTAGGAGAGGCTGGCGAGCTGTATTGGCCTATACAGAGGATCCTCTGGAGTAACAGCAACCCACTCAGGTCTTTTTTATTTTTGTTTTTGTTTGTCCTTGTGGCTCCCAGGCATGTAGTGCTATGTTAGGTCCCATCAGCACACTGAGACAGGCTAAACAGAAGCCTATTTAGGCAGATGGCCTTAAATATCAGAACATTAAATGTATAGTCCAGTGTTCTCTTTACCTCCCTAGAAAGAAGCTGGGAGCTGGGACTTTCCTCTCAATCATGTGGTACTGTCCCAGGGGCAGATGCTGTGGCAAGAAGGTGCCACAAGTTTTCCTACAAGATTTGATCCAGCTAGTTTTGTGCTTTCTTCAGTTGTAACAGCCACTTAACTAGCTTCTGAATTTCTCAAAAAGATAATTTATCTGTATATTGGTGTTGAATTGGTGTCTGTCTCTGCATGAGGAAGAAGATCTAGAGCTTCCTATTCTGTTATGTTGCTGATGTTATTAAGGGCTCTTCATTTTATTGGTACATAATAAATACCAATTACTAGATTCCAAATCATCTATTGAAGGTATACAGTGAAGAAGTAATTTAGATATAGCAATGAAAATATGTTTCAGAGTTAGAAAAGTATATTAAAATATATAAAACTATATAGTCAATGTAAGTTTTGTAAACACATGTAATACTCAGACATGTATGTACATATACTCACATGCATATATTATTACATATGTAGAGAAGATCCCAGAAAAAAAATCATCAAAATGACAAGACAGAAATATTAGCTAATTTTAATTTCCGTTTTTATGATATTTCATTTTTAAAACATTCTATAGTCCACAAGAGCTAGTTTTTTCTTTCAAAAACTTAATAAATATGTGTTACTTGAAGGAAGAAAGGAGGAAGAAACTGGATTCAAAGAGGACATTTGAAAGGAAGAATTCTTTAATTACTTTATACCATTAATTCCTACTTTGTCAAGGTCATATTATGATGTGACATTTGTAACTTACTTATTCTGCATGCTGACTGAAACGTACTGCAGAACAGCTATAACATGGCTTTTAAAAAGGATTAGAGCTAAATTATTCATGCTACAAGCCATATTGAGAGTTGATGGCCCCCAAATTAGAATGCCAGTACATGAATTTTATGCACGTTTCCTTTCCCTCAGAGAAACAGCTTATACAATTTACTGAATATAGCCACAGGTAAGAAATGCTGATAACATTTCCTTCTTGAAATGCCAGGTCTTTATAGTGGAGATAAGGAGCAAGATGTTGACGCCTTGCAATTTTATGTGCTAACAAGATGCTTCAGCACAGTATCCAGAGTACTGCTTACTATTACCATAAGAAAGACAGGCATTTCTTGACGGATGAAAAGGTTTGATCTCACTGTTCACACAGAACATAATTAAAATACAGATACAAGTGCTAAATGGCACTGATTCCACATTATTTTTTTAAAAAATATTATTTATCACAGGGTGGGCCAGGGATTACTGAGATTTTGCATGATCTGTGGAGAGAATTGATCATTTTTTCTCTAAATTATAAAAGAAAAATATAAATACATGAATGTAGAACTCTTCTTTTGATTAATAATAAAATAGTAGTTTTGAGATTTTGCATATTAACTTGAATGCTTAATGAATGATCAGTTAACTACATGTGACAAGCTTAGGCCTCATTCGTCTCAGTTAAGTCAACTATCAGAAATGGCATGAGGCTGAAAATACATCTTATTAAGTAAGAAGTTTAGTCTTTAGCATCTAGTCAATGAAATGGCTTGCTCAGAGAATTACGCTGTAGTTCTACACAGCTATACGTGGCCAATAGTATTAGAGCTGACACAATACTTATATTACATTTCTTGTCTTCAGTGAAGTTAGACAGCCTGGGAATTTTCCAAGAAAATTACTAGAATGAGATAATGTACCAATTTTTTAATTAAGTGCAGTTCTAGAAACTGGAAACAAAATTGAGGAAAACTGCAATCATGCTTATCTGAAATTAGGAAATCTAGCTACAGTACTTTTACCAGATACAGAACTTAACACCAAACCTGGATCCGACAGCCTTTGAAATGGGTTTGAATTATATGCATTCAGTAAAAATGCACTGAAAGAGGAGCCTATCTTTATGGGATGAATTCTTATGCTTGTTGATTGCATCTTCTGTGAACTTCAACCTCGCACACCAATAAAGAATCATTTACATAATAATTTTGGTTTGTATTATATATGAGAAGATATTCAGGATATACTCAGTGTAGTCTCATTCCACAGACTGGGCAGGAATGCATGAGAAAGCGCAGCGAACTTTCAAACAGCCTCTGCATAATAAGTTAATGAGGTAGAAAAAAAGATTCCAGACAGTGCTAGCTCTAAGAACAACTCTAAAATAAGAAGAATTTGTCCTTAGTCCATTCTTATTCTATTTTTCTATGCCTTTTTTTTTCCTTCAGAAGGTGAAACTTCTTGCCTTGAGCCAGCTGAAAAAGTTCTTCATACAGGCTTAGTCCTCCCAGACAGCCTCCTATGTTCTGACCTTCATTTTAGTTTTATTAAAATACATTTATTCTGAGCTCTATTTGCTACTTGTGTAAAGGCATTTTGGAATGGAATAAGCTAAAATGTTCTTGCTTAAATTATAATGAACTAATATTATAGTTAATTTGTTATGCTCCTGGATAATCAGGAGAGCTTAGGAGTGGAAAGATATATCCAATTATTTCCACAGGTATTTGCTGAGTATCTGTCACTTCCCCTGCACTGGAGAGGCTTCTGAAAGACTATATAAAACAATTAGCTGCCAACTTCCATAAAAGAGATCACAGTTTAATCACAATGCTACATGAATACAATTGAAACATGTGATAGTAGTTTGGTGCTAAAGGAATTCAGAGAAAAGATAAATTTGTGTTGACATGACAAAAAGTATCTGAAGATGGCAGGATCTGAGTCAGATTTCAGAGGATACCTGTAAGAGAAAGTAAAGTGTTTGTAGGGCACAGGGAGGCCATGAACAGGGGAGAGTTACCATACATCCCATTTTGTCTGGAATAAACCTAGATATGACTATCGTCCCACTCTAATTTTTAATAGCTTCCCCTTTCACTCTCAGAAATGTCTCACTTGCACAATAGATGATACATATTTTCATGAGCAGGGCTTATCAATGGGATAGTGTAGTACCAGGATAACTAAAGGAGAAGTACTTTTGGGGGAATAGAGGATCATAAGGTTGGACTGGGGGTGTTGAGCCAGGTTATAGGGGCTCCTATATTTAGACATGATGTGGTAGACAAGAGGAAAATAACTTATTTTTCAGTTGAGTAAATGGCATAATAAAAGTGATCTTGAGAGATTAATCTAGTATAAAGTGACAATAATGAGTTGCATGTGTATATTTGTCTTTATTGCTTAGACCCTGGCTTACTTAATACCAAAAGATAGCATAGTCCATGAAGCCTTAAGAAAAGAACATCAACTTTATAGCTATAACTGTATCTTTGTTCAGTTACTTTCTGTCTTTACATATTTAGCCATGTACCATCTTGAGGACCTTTAAATGATTAGATATTATGAGGAGGGAAATACTAAACGTAATGAAAATATAACACATTGCCTAAAAATGATGCTATTCCTATTTTTACTGATAGATTTTTAGTGTATAATATACTTTAAAAAATAACTTTTAGAGCCTAGAGTCATGGAGATTATGAAGCCTTCTACTCTGGAATCCATCTGCGAATAATTGACAGCGGTATGCAGGAAAATGGGGAGTCATAATCATGTATGAGTAATCCCAACAAAGATGTAAGATACAATAAGTAGAAGAGAGGAAAAAGAACAAAAATGATTGACTCTCACATATTTCTAGCCATTGATATAAGAAAAATTTTGGTGAGATTCATCAATTTGGGCCATTTACAATAAATGCACTGTACATTAACAGGTGGTTTACTTGAACAATAAAAGTGCCACTTGTTGAGCACCTAGTTTATGTGCAGTAATCTTTAAAAAAAAAACCCTACTAGGCAGTATTAGTGGCCACATTTTACAAGTGAGGGTATAGCAGCTGAAAGTGGTGAACTATCTGGCCCAGTGTCACTCAATAAGTGGAATAGTCAAGATATAGACTAAGCGGCTTTTCACCTGCAGAGTTCATTCAACCACATCACCCAGGCATCTCTACACCTGAGGTGAAATATTCAGGCTGGCTAAGACTTTCAAATATTAAAGAAAGTGTGTTACTGAGAAAGATTTAGGAAACTGGGTTCTCAGAATATTATCAGCAACTTGACAATTAGAACGATTAGGGCAGAATTCAAGCCTGAAAGATGGTTATGTAACAAATTTTTATAACCGTATGCTAATTTTAGATCTATTTCTTATGAAGAGCTGTAAGAACATGCCAATTGAGGAGACTATGTTGACAGAGCACTGCAGTCTATGATAGTCACTTTACTCATTTAATATTATGACTCATGATTCTAAATGATAGAAGCTTATCATGTTGAGCTTCCAAATCTTTAAATCCAATATAACATTAGTTAAAATTACAAGTTATTTATTGGAACTTCATAAAATAACTATAGAGTTTCTCTGGAAAAGTAGACATTCATGAATAATTATTATAAAATTCTGAGGGAGAAAACCAAAATGAAAGTAATGGCTTGCCTGCCTAGCAAATGTTTCAATATACTTTATAACTCACCTTAACTTAACAACATGGCATCACAGCACCAATTCCCAGGTCCAAGTAGAGAGATCAGAAAGATAGGGGAAGAGAAGCATTACAAACCAGGGGTGAATATAAAGATTATTCAGCAAATTGTGCTGGGCCAAATGACTTACTCGTTGGAAATAAGTAAAATTGTATCCTCAGATCAGTCCTTATAACAAAATACCAGGTGCATAAAATTTTTCAAAGGTAAAAATGAATCATAAAACTTTCAGAAGAGAGGTACTTGTTTGTTTGTTTTGTATAATCTTGGCATAGGGCATAAAACCCAGAAATAATAAAAAAGAAAAGACTAAAATATGTTTATAGTATTTCTTTAAAAATTTACATTTGGAAAAATAATTCCATCAGCAAAAATACAAAATTTGGAAAATGCAAAAAGTATAAATTTCAAAACATACAAACTATTCAATTTGTATATACAAGATGCAAACCAATATCCTTTATATAAGAAAGTACTTATAAATCAGAAGGAAAAGGGTCAACATTCTAGTTTTTTTTAAAGTGTGACAGGTAAGGACAGAATAATGAATAACGTCAATCAAAAGAAAATCAATAAAAATTTATACAATAATGAAGTACTAGTATCATTATTGCTATTGCTATCATTATTGCCATTTCATATGCTGTTCAGCTATGAAATCTGCAGAGAATACACAAATTGATAAGACTTGGTATTAGAAATATTTGGACAAATCAGAACTATATAGTGTTCATGGGAAGGTAATTTATTGATCAATAATTATAAATATTTAAAATGTTCAAACAATTTGATGTATTAATTTCGTTAAAAAATTTTTATGGTCATATTCACATAAATAAATATTCCATCATTGCTAATTTTATAAGAAGAAAAAAACATGGAAATGATCTAGATCATAATTTCTAGGAGACTGTTTAAATAAATGTTATATTCATATAATGAATCACCAGGTGGTCCTTATAAAAGATGAGGTAGAATATTATAAATTAATATTGAAAAATGTCTACAATATTTTACCAAGTAAAAATATACTACTGTCAGAATATCATATATGGTATAAACTCATGACTTTTTTAAAAAGCATAATCTTATTTAATAGCTTAAATGCCTATGTTGAGTTAATGAAGAACATATTTGGAATGATATCCTTGCAACACTTAACAGGCTACTTTGAAAAATTGATGGGGGAAGAAGAATTTATGGAGCATTATGTATTTTACTCTCTATCTAGGTACTATTTTTCTTTTAAATGTTACGTAGATACAATTCATATATGACTCCACCTTTAGATATTGTTTTTTAAAGTAATATGCCTATAACCATTTTATAATGAAGATAACCTTAAAATAGATTGATTTTATTTTAAATAATAAGTAGATATTAGTTTTTAAATTACTTTTCTTAACAAATAATAAAAATTTACTGTTATTTTTACATTAAATAAATTGAATTGAATAAATAGAATTAATTATTGAATTTTACACTTTCTCTCTGGGTATATTTTCTTAACTGTCTACATTTTTTCTTTCTTGATCTCCTAGCAATATTAATATTTTAATTTAAAAGTCTATTTATGGAGAAAAAATTATATATTGCCATATAACTTTAAAACGTCATCATCTTGGTAAAATTCTAAAGACTTCTATACAGATATTACATATTGAGATAATATATGTGATAGCGTTATTCATAGCCCGAAAGATTTTTTTATTTACTTAAACTGAAATATTAGGCTACAAAATTCATTTAGGTTCTGAGTTCCTGGACTGTATTTATTTTCATAGCATGGCTTATACAACTTCTAAAGTCATAGTTGTCATGCAATAAATAAATGGTACCCAATGCATTGAAATAGTTAATTAACTTTCATAGGTGAGCAATGCACTCAGGAAGTAGTTTGATTACTAGTAAGGCAGCAAAATATTTACAAAGAGCTTTGAACTCTCCTAGTGAACCGGTGATGTCATGTAATCCAACCAGGTGTTTTTGTTTAGTGTTCTTTTACTGGTTTATTAGGGAATAGGACAGAGAAAGAGAGAGACAGAGAGAGGAGAGACAGAGAGATCCATAACTTGTAGCCAACATGTAAAAGCAGCTCTCACTTTCTCAAATAATATGGCATTTGAAAATGAAGCAATCCTTTTTGCTAGGGCACTAAAAATCATAGCTACATCTTTATATATAAATATTTATGAAAAGCTTCTAAAAAGTGTGGTTCTAATGATCTCATATGTAAGTTTCAATGTCTCACTAAATAATGACATTCAATTATAATCAATTTGCAGTTTTGGTGTTAATTTATATACTCTTCTAAAGCTACTATTTATGTGAATCATCTGTGAAAAAATTACTATCTGAATCCAAATATTTTACTAGCATTCAAAGCATTTTAAGAAAGCAAACTTTTTGAAGTGGTTTTCTATGAGAAATCAATCCATATTTAGGCAACATCAATTTAATTTCCTACTTTAAATTTTAGGTTTTTTGGTGAAATTTAACTTCTTAAAACGTTTCGGAACTGGAAAAATTATTTGTATGCACAAAACATGTTCACATGGGAAGGTCTACAGTGTTACACATTCTTATTATGAGGGTAATAGAACTAATCATATGTGTAGGAAGTAAAAGATGGATCATAGATTTAATATAATACAGGAAGCATGTGCCAGGTAATGCAATCAAGTTTATTAACAAAGGACAGAATTCTTTAAGATAGGAAGTTTTGTCAGAGCCACATTAAACAAACAAAATACATAAAAGAATTGGCATGACCAATCCAGGTAGGTAGGGCCACTAATTATTACAGCAGAATTGTCTCAAAAATATGTAACTTATTGATCTGATATTAGGTGCCTATGAGGGGAGACCATGGAAGGCTTGCTTTTTCACTCCTCTCTAGGAAATTTTATGTAAAAAATATAATTCATCATTCAGTTTTGGGAATGAGTTGAAGAATGAATGAGGATCCAGTGTTTATAGACCATTCAAAATCAAACAATAGAGGACTTCTAATTGTTTCAGAACCCTTAGCAATGATCATTGTCTAGATGACGTGACAAATATTTTACTGTCTTTTGGACCCTTAACTTTCATTTATAGTAAAATAAGCCTTCTTTATTATTCAGATTTAAGACAGAAAATATTTTTATCTAATAGGCCACCTTTTGTTTGGATTATGTTTCTTTACATTCAAGTACCGTAAGATAAATAAAAACGTATATAACGTGACCCTGCATTTCTCAATTTCTCTTATGATTATAGACATTTCCAGGTGGTGTGGGCCAGTATTGACATGTATGCTAGATAACAGTGTAATTATTTTTCAGCTTTATTGAGGTATAATTGGCAAATAATTATACATGTTTACAGTGCACAATGCGATGTGTTGATATATATATATATATACATGTTGTAAAATAATTACTAAATCAACTTAATTAACACATCCATTACCCCACATAGGGATGTGTGTGTGTGTGCATGTGCTTGTGTGTGTGTGTCTGTGTGGTGACACTATTAACTATGGTCACCTTGCTATACATTAGATCTCCAGAACTTATTCATTCTTTCTCACTAAACTTTGTACCCTTTGATCAACATCTCATTTCCCCAGCTCCCCAGCCCCTGGCAACCAGCATTCTACTCTTTGCGTCTATGAGTTTGACTTTTTTCCGATTCCATATATAAGTAAGACCACATAGTATTTGTCTTTCTCTGCCTGGCTTATTTCACTTAGAATAATGTCCTCCACGTTCATCTATGTTGTTCAAATGACAGGATTCCTTATTTTGAAAGGCGGAATAATCTTTTATTTTAAAAAAGATGCATGTGATATTTTAAGTGAATAACATGCAAGATCATTTGCAATGAAACTCTATAAAACGTGTGTAGCTTTCTCTTTACATTTATATGTGGCAGGGTAATTTACTGGGACATTAATTCTGACGGTTCTTGGTATAATCGCTCTCCCTCCATTTCCAATAGTTAGAACATATACTCCCTTCCCTCAGGGGAAATTAAAGATAGGCCCCTTCCTTACATTTGTTATTGAATTTCCCTACTCCTGGAGAGGATTATCCTGGGTTAAGAGAAACAGAATCTACCCAGGCTTGGAGGGCTGCAGAGGTCAGAATGGGGCTTCAAGGTTAGAGGCACTACTTTACCTTGAAGCTTGTGAAACGTACTCTTTGGCTCTTAGGTGGAAGAGAGTCTTCCAAGTCCTGAACTTAATTTCAAAATCATATTTTTTCCCTAAACGTTTTATTCTATATAACATTGACATTGTAAGGTACACAAATCCTAAGCAAATTATTACCAATACATATTCATGGCAACTCCCACCCAGATGAAGATGAATAATTGATATGTATATATTTTAGTTTTTCAAAGAGATCTTCCCAAACTATTTAAGTTCAAGTCCCATAACACTTGGATCCTTCCCCCCTTCAAGGTGTTACAAGTGAAAATTGTTAAGACCTGAGGTGAAGGTGAGACTGTCAGAAGATCACTCTCTGCATGGTGTACCTAGAAAGGAGAAGGTTGACTGTCATTCAACAAGATTATTGGGCACGAACTGGCTTCCTTAAAATAGTCAAGTCTTCTTTATTTAAATACCCATATGACACTTGAATATCCTATACGTATTTGAATATCATATAGGCCTGGATGGTTTTCTCTAGGGATGTCCAATGGGAAGAGAAGACCAAAAGAAATTCCCTGCCATTTTACTGCCATGAAATATTAGAATGTTGGTAAAATTTAGGGAATGCGAAATGAACTCCAGTATAGAATAACATTTACGGCCAGCCCAATAAAATGGAAGCTTTCAGTTAAATTCCAGTTCTGTTAAAGAAAATAAAAGAATGTCTTTTTTTTTTTTTTTTTCGCAAACCTGAATTTGTGGAGGTCAATTTGCATTTGATTGAATGCTTAGATTAGGTTGGAGTAACATCACCACCAAGAAAATCCTAAACTGAACACAGCAAACATGTATTTCTCATCCATGTGGTGCTGGTTGTCCCCAATTCTTTGCTCATTATATTCATGAAGCATCTCAGTCTGACAAAGACAGCCTCTTGATGTGTGTGTCTGTGATCAGGGCAGCAAAGGAAGGAAATGTGGTCCAAAGCACAAGGGCTCTTTAACTTGTGCCCCGAAGTGACATGTGTCACATGGCATCCCCTATGTTCAAAAATAAGAATTGCAGCCCTAACAGGTGCTTGCGTGAACAGCCCCAATGACCACCATAAAATTCATTCCAGCCGCACAAACTACAGCTTTTCAATTTTCCTCAAGGAGCTGTTTATATGCTAATGCAGAAAAGGGTGTATTACCTTTCTATTTAATTTAGAATATTCTCAATGAACATACTAATCTCTTTTGTGCACCATTTAACAGTACTTTCATTTTTCCTGACTGCAAACAGATAAGGTAATTATTGTTTTTCAATTTCTCACAGATCGCTTGGCACCATAGACATTTTATCAGGTTTTAGAATTGTACACCAAGGAGATCTGTGTATATATTTAACTTCTTTTATTGTCTCTTGCAAATATGGAAGCTATATTCCTTTAGATGCTGATTTTAAGGAAGTGCTTTATAAAAGTTTTGGTGATTTATGCTTAATTTTGTATTCTGTTTTTATTAGAAACAGGCCAGTGGCTTCTAGTGTTAGAATTGGAATTTGGTTCACTGACAGTAAAATAACAACCATCTATCATAAACTGGCAATCCATTCTTGTTCTCTTCATTATTTGAATGTGGATAGGGCCCATAAAAATGAAAAGTAGCTTTCACACCCCAGAATAGACATTCCACTTACAACTTGAGAGTCAGTAGAGTGAGGTATTTAAGTACACGTGCTCAGAAGCCAGACTGCTTGAGTTTGAATCCCAGCCTTGCCACTGTGTGACCCTGGGCAAGTTGTATAAATTTTCTAAAATTCAGTGTCTTGATCTGGGAATGATAATATTAACTACCTCCATAGATTGCTACAAGTCATTGAATGAATTTTAAATGAATGAATGCTTATAAAGTATTAAGAGTGTTTGCTACATAGTAAGTTCTCTATGAGCTTTTGTTTTTATTGTTATTATTATTATTGTCATTATTTTAATTGGGGGAGAATATGACATTAATTTTTGCTAGTCAAATGATTTCATTCTACTATATAAGGTAATGTGACCCCAAAATATAATGTGACTTTATAATTATACACATTTGCATATATATAATTTATGTGCATATATATATATATATATACACACACATATATATATATGCTGCTTTTAAGGAAGTGCACATACATACACACACATATTCCTACACACACACACACACACACACACACACATACATACATACATATATGTATTTAAGAAGACAGTGACTCTACTTGGTTCCAAATGAAGTTATTTTGGAAATGCTATTGTTGCAGACACATAGCCCTGATGTACATGTGCTACTCTTGCTCTACGGTTAAGAATAAAATATTTATGTTATCAGTTGCCACTGCAGTCCTAACTCAGCTGACTTTTATTTCATAAGCTTATTTTTTAATCAGCAACATGTTTTATGACTCATCTATCAATAACAGTGTGGAAGTGCTGTGTATATGCATTCAGAGCACTGGTTTTGCACTGGACTGACTTTATACACAACACCATTTGTGAACTATGTTACCATGTATAAATTACTTAACATTTTCTGCCTTTTCTTCCAGGAAATAGAAGATAAATGAGCATGTGTGTATACCCACACACACATTGCTTTTAAGGAAGTACGCATACATACAGACACACACACACACATATATACATATATGTGCACATACATAATGTATGTATGTGTGTGGATGTATATGGACTGCAGCGGCAAGTGACAACATAAGTATTTTATTCTTAATAGTAGGGCAAGAGTACCACATGTACATCAGAGCTGCCTAACTGTGACAATAGAATTTCTAAAATAATTTCATTTGGAACCAAAGTAGATTCACTGTCTTCCTAAATACGGATACATGTATTAATGAAAATAATTTGTGTAAAACTGTTTTCTTGATCAAAGTATTTCACACAGGCTTGCTCATCCTTGCTTCTGTTTTTCTACTTTACATGTTTTTCTTTAATATACCTGGTTAAATTTTTTTTTCCTTTTATGTTTTCAGATGCCAGAGGTTCTAAAAATTAATCCCTCTGTTACAGAGATGATTTTTGTCTACAGATCCAGGTATCTTTAGAAATAGAATCTTGATCCTTGAATAGTCTCCCAAATGTGGAACATGCAATTTATTTTCTGTAGCCGAGGTCACATCTTTGGTTTTTTTTCTGGGAAGTATATATCAATGAAACAGTTAAGGATGGCAGCCATTTGCTTATGAGGTCTTAGGTTGTTGAAATTGATAGTGGCCTACATGGAGAGATTTGAAATTCTCTGACAGGTGTCTTCTGTCCCAAATAGCTTTCCTTTCTAAGCAATCACTAAAAATTCTCTCTCCTCATCTGGCCTGATCATGAATGAATTTCAAAATACACATTCGTGTGTTCTAATTCATTTACTAACATGAATTTATAACATCTACCATACAAAAGAGTGTCCAGAGATCTTGGAAAATAATAAGATAAAAGCCATAGTACTTGCCATTAGTGACATCACAATAAGGTAGTGGGAAATACAGCTAAAATGAACATTGTATCAGTGTGTGAAAAACTATATGGTAACATATGGAAGCTGGCATGTGAAAAATTGAGGAAACCCTCCTGGAGATGTCAGATTTTAGCTGAATTTTGAGAGGTAAATAGAAATTATGCTTGAAAAGAAAGTTTAGAAGAATATTCCTCTAGAAGGAAGGAAGCAACAGCAGGTGTAAAGACTTAGAGACACAACTGTAATCCCAGCTACTCGGGAGGCTGAGGCATGAGAATCACCTGAACCCAGGAGGCAGAGGCTGCAGTGAGCCAAGATTGCGCCATTGCACTCTAGCCTGGCAACAGAGCAAGACTCCGTCTCAAAAAAAAAAAAAAAAAAAAAAAGCATGACAAGTCAAGAAACTCAAAATAGTTGATGTTGGTTGGAGCACAACATGAGAGGTAGGGAATGAGGAAAGTTAAGCTGAAGAAGTAGGTGGGTGCTAGCTAGATCAGGGGTTGGCCAATGACAGCCTTCCAGCCAAATGTGGTATGACATCTATTTTTGTAAATAAAATGTTATTGAAACACAGCCATGCCCATTTATTTACATAGGTCCACAGCTGCTTTAGCCCAATAGCAGAGTTGAGTAACTATATCAGAGACCTTGTGGTTGCAAGGCCTGAAATATTTTGTATTTGGCTTCTTACAGAAAATGTTTGCTAAGCCCTAGGCTAGATCATGTGGGGCCATAACTGTCTTTCTAAAAATTTTGAATTTTACCACAAAGAAAGTAAAAAGCGATTGAGTAACTTTAAACACAGGAGTTAGGCTTCATTGTGCAGAATGCAATGAGAGAATGGCAAGTCTAGAAGCAGAGATACCAGTAAAAAAATTGTTGTATGTGAAATTAGAGTTGAAGTCAAGAAAAAGAAGTTCAAATGAAAAGGAAATGATAGACTCAAGAAATTGTAAACTGGTAAAACCATTGATTGGATATATGAAATATTGATATTGGATATATAGATTATGAGAAGTCCATGATAGTGAGGGGATTTTTGGACTGGGTTTCCAAAATATATTTGAACTCATTTATTAAAATAGATAATTTAGGATGGATGAATTAGAAGAGCAGTAATGATGAGTTCTTTTCAAACATGTTGATTTTGAGGATATTAAGGAAAAATAAGTGGTCAATTCAAGAAGGCATTTTTATATGTGGGGGTGAAACTGGCATGGAGTACTAGATTAGAAATTTAGATTGAAATATTAATTTGGTAGTTAAAAGCAGTTGATGAGATCACTGAGGAAGTTTGTAAAACATCCAGAGGAAGTTGGCTCAAGATTAAGATAATGTAATAGACTGAGTTTTAAAAGTAGAAGAAATAGCAGGAGAATGTTTTGGAATTCGAGAAAGGTCTTCATGAATGGAAAATTGTCAACAGTGCTAAATGCTAGAGATAAGCTCAGTTAGATGACATGTGAGAAGCAGCCACTAGATAATTAATGAGTAAGTTTTTAATAACATTAGCAAGAGAACTTTTAGTATAGGATTTGTGGTGCAAACCAAATTGAGCTGAAGTAAGGAGTAAAACCAGGTAAGGAAGGAGAGGCAGTTAGTAAAATAACAGTATTTAAAAAATTGACTATTAGAAAGAGAAAGGGAAAATGAAATAGAATAATGGCTCAGGAAAAAAAAATGTTTGTCAAGGTTTTGTTTGGGGATTTAACATTGTTATACAGTGCAGGAAAATCATGAGCGGAAGTGGAGTATAATGGAAATCCCATAAACCTTAGAGTTAGTGAACCTTGGTTTGATTCCCTCCTCTGTCCATTGTTAGTCATGTAAACTTTAATTCTTCTGTTGCAGGATTTGCTGAATAATTCTGAGCTTCAGTTTTCTCTTATGTAAAATGCAGACAAAAATATCTTGCAGACATATTTTGAGTGGATTGAAATAATGTCTATGAAGTATCTAGCAGAATGCTGTTATATAATAGGGACTCAATAAATAATGTTTTTATTTTTATTAATGAAATATTTCTATATACTCAGTTAATGCTAATGTAGGTTACATCTTGTTGAACCTATTAACTCTCAGACAACTTCAAATACTTATAGCACAGAAACAGAAGGGCAAAAAAGAAATTTCACTTATTGTAAACTTGGGAAGTTGGAGTACAGTGGGATTGTCCTGGAAGAGGAAAAACTGAATGAACACTTCTGAAAAAAGGGTTTTTGAAAAGGGGTATGGAATCACCTAGGGCAAGTTTACTTTTCTCAATTTCTGTCTTCATAATGAACATATTAAATAAAAGTATTGTTTGAACATGAAGATGTTTCAGGTTACCATGATATAAGTGCTCTTTATCTTTGGTCTAGACTATACTTGCTAATTTCTCATGAGTACCTGTGTGCTCAGAAAAATCTTCCTTAAAATTTCACAAACTTGCAAAACAGGCTTTTAGTAAGACATCATCAGCTTCTTGGCCCTTACAAGGAAATGGAAGGAAACTTATTATATTCTTTCCTAGACCTATTTACAAATCATTCTTGGGTCACAGAAATGTCACAGCCATGAGTTCATCATTTTAAGGAAATTCCCTTTGCTTGAACATAACATATGTTAGTCCCACAGTGCTGAGCTTATAAATTCTTATGATTCCTTATTTGGAATTATCCTTCTGAGTCAAAACCAGACCACAAAATATGTAATGGTACAGACTAAACATAAGCAACATGCTACCAACATCCACCAAGACAACAAAAACAACTTATGGTAGAGTAGCTTAGGAGAAGATAAACATTCTCAAACCAAACAAGGCAGAAACCGTACACCTTTCTTACTCTTTATTCTTAACTTGGGACTAAATTCCATGTCCAGTTGATAAATATAAATATTTTATCTTTTATTGTAGCAATTTTATCTGTACTGTAAAATCATCTTCATTTGTAAGACTCTGTTATGATAAAAAGTGCTTTTTCTGTCTTCCCATCTGCTCCATAAAGAAAGCAGATATTCAAGGGAGCAACATTATAAAAAGTGCCTGTGTGTGGTCTGGGCCCTGCTTAATGTAGAATCAAAGGATGCTGTGGGACTTCAGTTCATTCCACTACTTCCAGACAGTTTCCTCTAAACCCTCTTGGACAGACTAGTTTATAAAGTGTCCAGGTCAGGCACTTGGATAGTTATCCTACCTAACTGCCAGGAGTTTCTTCTCAGGTTCAAGGTTCCCTTAAATACATCTAACAATTAAATCCTTATTCTGATATTAGACCTTAAATGGAGAATCTCTGGATAGTTAAAAGCTTGTGATGAATAATTGTTAACACTCTTCCATCATTGAACTGTTAATAACAAATCAGTGACCTTGTTGTATAACCAGACACTTTAAATATTTGCAGAAGCTTCAAGAATGAAAAGGTAAATAAAAATAGAGAGGCAAAGTCCCAGGTTTGTGTGTGTGAGATAGCGAGGCAGTAGACGTATGGGAGAAAGTAATAGTGCAGTATCTAAGTGTAGGAATAATAGTAAAACTTTAAAGGATTTTTTAAAATCATGGAACTTTATGTTGAATAGAAACAAATCTTAATATTTCAGAAGCAAGATAACTAATATCTTCAAGCAAATTAGATGGACACAGATAAAAGAATAGAAAGGGAGCAAATTCATTTTTAAGAACATAAATTTAGGTTTCTTTTAAATGATTTGCAGGTAGGAAACTAAGTTTAAAGTTTACTGTTTAAAACATGGATGTGCTCTCATTAGCAGAACACAAGTGCCTCTAGGCTGTTTATGAAGTTGTGGTGAGAACTGGCCAGGTAAGCAAAGGTGATGGAGGGGCCCAACTTGCCCCTTTGAAGTCTTACAGATTGAGAAGCATTAACAGCCAAACTTCAAAGAGCAATGCTTCATCATTTTTGTGATCCAATCACTGTATTCAGCTGCAATTTATAGGCTGGTGATATTAAATTGGGAATGGTTTAGTTGCTCCCAATTAAGCTTTGGAAATGAAATTAAAAGTTCAAAGTACTCAGCTGCCTGTAAAGTGAGTTGGCAAAGTTGAGAGAAAGCTGTGGTAGTTTGCTTTGAAGTTTGTTTTGTTTGTCAATGCATCTTAGAGGGTTGAATTAAATGGGAAACTTGCTTGGTTCTAATTTTTCTTTTAGGGCAATACAGTCTGGGTCAACTCACAGTTTATATTGGACTAAATTATTTTCAAATAGCAGGATGGAATTATATTAACTTAAAACTCCCTAAACATTCACACACAAAGGTACACACTCACATACCCATAGCTTGATGTATTTGAATTCTAGAGGTGAATGGAATTTCCAAATTTACCTAGACCACCCTGTATGTAAGCTTTTGAGATTCACTGTCATCTAAACCATCCATCACACACAGTTGGTCCCCCATCCTAAAAAGCTTTAGGGAAGGAAGGTCAAAAGTTTCATTTTCATGAGGTCCAGAGGGGGAAGAATTATAAAATCAGATTCCAGGAAATAAGTAAACCATCTCAGTAAATAAAATCTAATGGGCCCCATTTGATAAAAAATGACATAGAGGAAAGAGCTTCCATTTTGTAATGGAATGATTTTTAAATATGAATGTGATCTCAGAGTGGGAAGTTATGGCATTTTTCAGAGAATTATCAAATAAGTATTGGAAGTGTCTGATTAAATATGGATCTATAAATGAATGCTGATGTTTTATTTTTTGTGTGAGGGAGGAAGGAAAAAATCAAACAATAACTTGGCATTGCTTTTAATATAAATGCTTTATAGTGTATTATGCAAGTGAAATATGAGAAAGACTTTAGGTTAGAGGCATTGGATTAAAGCACATCAAGCAATTCTTTGTTTCATTCAGGAATGAAGATGAACATAGTAGAGGGCTCATGCTTTTCTATTGCTCTGTCTGCCTTTTAATATGTTTTCCAAGTTAAAATCTGTTGCCTTCTTCTTATTTTCTCCAAATGGAATACATTTTATCTTTCTAGTAGAAACCTGAGTTCTCTGAAGAGTACATCAAAGATTTCATGAATTCCCAGAACTTTTCTGGGAGGCGGGGGCAGTTTCATCTGCTAGAGAGAAAAGTCCTGCAGTGAAATATGAGTAAGTTGCTGTGAGCCCAGGGCAGAGCCAGGGCAGGAACTACAGTTTCCTGACTCTCAACCCAAGTCCTGATGCCTGGTCCATGACCACCAATAAAAACAGTAGCAAAAACAAACAGCAAAGGAACTGGGCTATCAAAAGGGTTACTTTTCCTAAGAGGCAGATGGGGAAAAAAAAATCCTGCCTGTTTTATTCGTATCTTTTCAATTGCATTTTACATCCCAATGAATCATCAGGAAAAACAACAACAACAACAAAAACAAAAACACTTTTAATGAAATGTCAAGTCGAACGCTGACTTCCATTCTAAGCTAAGGTGACCTCCCGGTTAAGGCACAGACACTCTTTCCACTGTTGTTTCTGTGACATCATCGAGGGGTCTGCAGTGGATGACAAGCTGCTGGGGCGTTCTCAGCTTATTTCATTCTCCCTGTGAGTAATCGGAATCCTTCAGTTTTTACAGTTCTAAATCATTCATTTATTGGAGATATATAATCCTATTGACATCACTGGGAAAACTAGTACAAGGAATACAGTATTCCCCATGATTTCAAACCTGCTGAGAGGCAGTCCTTGAATTGTCACTTCTGAAGTTGGCCAAATGGAGCAAGAGATTGCTGAGTGGGTGCTCTCCTCTAACATCTGAGGACGTGTCTATGCTGGGAGCCCACACCTGCACAGTCTGCTCTGGTGGCACTACTCCAGGAAGCTGGGTTTCGCAATGCTGCCAAAAATGGAAATAACGGGGAGAGACAGATGGTGCATCTGTGGAAGCCAAATCCAGTTGTATATTCTTGATTTATTTTTCTCTG